>NC_000012.12:109429824-109581340 GCF_000001405.40 Homo sapiens | reverse complement strand
GCACTGAACCAGGGGCCAGGCCCAGGCCTGACTCCAAGCATCTGGTCCAGTTTTCTCAACTGGGGGAGAATTCCTGACCCCAAATGTATCCCTATTGAACATCAGGAACTCATGCTGAATCAGACAACTAGAAAACAGGTATCAAGTTCATTTAAATCCCTGGGTCATTCAACCAGAGCCCTTCCCAGAAGCACCTGGCAAGCTGTCAACCCCTTTCTCCCACCTCCTTCCTGTGCCCACATGCTAGGCTTTTCTGTGGGCCTGCTCTGAGCACAGGCTGGCCCCTCTGCCTGCAATAGCCGTGCACCTCCTTATCCCACAGAGAAATCCCTACCCATCTCTCAAGGCCTTATCAAATGTCGCTTCCACTGTGACACTTTCCGTAGCTGCCCACAAAGACCCTCCTGGCTCCCCTTCTAGGACCCCCGCCTGCCCTCCCTCCCTCCACCGCTGCCTCACCACCGCACACTAGGATTGTGTGTTCACCGGGGCCTCTCCCGCCAGACGGTGCTCCCCAACCATGTGTAACACGGGTCTGCTTTTGATCACCAGAAAGGTCCGAATCGCTACATCTTACATGTATTTCCCCCAAGCAAGAACTGTCAAACTTCATGTTTGGTAATTTCCACGAAGTGCTTTTCCCATTTCCCAAATAGAAAAATTGTAATAATGTGCGTCTTCAAATTCCACGTACCCACCCCACCCAGCCTGGAAGATTCTGGAATGCCCCTCACCCACTTAAGGGGACATGCCTCTCTCAAGTTGAAATTCTGCTTCGGACGGCAAGTATCAGGCCGTTTCCGAATGTGTCCTCAGCATAGAGCCTGGCCACTGAGCCAGCATCTGCTGCTCAAGGGAAGGGCTGCCCCCTTGAGGTTTTTTTCCCTTTGGGTTCTGGACAAAAACAAAAACAACAAAAACAACAACAGAGAGGCTGGGGCCGGGTGCAGTCGCTCATGCCTCTAATCCCAGCACTTTCAGAGGCCAAGGCAGTTGGATCACATGAGCCCAGGAGTTTGAGACCAGCCTGGGCAACACAGTGAGACTCCATCTCTACAAAAATTTAAAAATTTAGCCAGGCATGGTGGTGCGCACCTGTAGTCCCAGCTACTTGGAAGGCTGAGGTGGAAGGATCACTTGAGCCTGGGAGGTCGAGGCTGGAGTCAGCTGAGATCATACCACTGCGTTCCAGCCTGAGCAACAGAGACCCTGTCTCAAAAAAAAGGCACGCCATATATACCGTGCCTGGCAGGGTGCCTGGCACATGATGAGGACAGCCAATGGCTGCTGCTCTAGAAGAGAGCATGTGCATTCTCCAGCAGCAATGACAGAAACTCTTCCTTTTTCTCCATGGGAGGCTGAATCTGGACTCCTTCCCCAGACCACGCACACACCTCTGCTTCCGGCAGATGGACAGGTATAAGTAAAGAAAGGCCAGCACAGCCAGGCGCTCGGTGACAGCACAGTCGTCAGGCAAGCCTGCAACCTCCTTTAGCTTCTCCACTTGCTCTGAGGTGGGTGTTGTGACATCACCTTGCTCTGTTCCACAGGCAAACAAGCAAACACAAGTGGGTGAGAGGGACTTTGGTGCTTTATAAACAACAGAACACAGAAAATCGACTAGTCACTGGAATTGGAACATGGATGGACACGAATTTATGGTCTGAACCCCACACCCAAGTCTGTTCATTGGCTTTAGGCAGACTTGGGTTTGAGTCCCAACTGTGCCATTTACTGGCCGTGTGACTTAACCTCCCTGAACCTGTTTCCCACCTTGGTAAAACAGGGATAACAACAGTGCCTCTTCTTACGGTTGTCAGGAACGTAAAGTTAAATAAGGGGTGTAAACTTTTTAGCACAGCACCTGGCATGTAGTAAGTGCTAATTAACAGTAGTTTTAAGGTTGGGTGCAGGCGCTTATGCCTGTAACCCCAGTACTTTGGGAGGCCAAGGTGGGCAGATCACTTGTGCCTAGGAGTTTGAGACCAGCCTAGGTAACATGGCGAAACCCCAACTCTACAGAAAGTACAAAAACTAGCCAGGCATGGTGGCGCACACCTGTGGTCCCAGCTACTCAGAAGGCTGAGGCAGGAGGATCGCTTGAGCCCAGGAGGTTGAAGAAACAGTGAGCTGTGGTCGCACCACTGTACTCCAGGCTGCATAACAGAGTGAGACCCTGTCTCAAAAAAAAAAAAAAAAAAAATTGTAGTCTTAAAACAAACACACACAGACACACAGACACACACAGAGAATGCTGGCTCAATCGCACAAGGGCCTAGGTTTCACCTTCCATTGTATAAAACCAAAATCAAAAGAGTGTTAAGTTAACCCCCAAAATATTTCCCTCCTCCAAAAGATAATCATCAGGAATAGGACAGTGTAAATGCGAGGCGGTGCCTGGGCAGAAGGGGAAGGTGAGGCAGGTTGTTCCCAGGGATGTACAGGAACCTGGGCCACTTTCCTCTGAGACACTGAGAAGGCAGAGCCTTTCTGGCCAGCTCACCTTTACAAATCACTCGCTGAGCCTCAGGTCACATTCTCAAGGGACTGGGAAATGGAATTGGGCATGCGTGTGTTAGGAAACTTCGGGCACTGGTTAAGTACTGGGTAAATGTGTGTTGAATGGATTAATGATATACTCAAATGGCCAAGTCATGGCATCATTGAGAACCCAGGTATTTCAGAGCTTTGTAATCGAGATGGAACAGCTGTTAAGAGCCTGGACTTTGGGGCTAGGAGAAACCTGGGTCTGAATCCTTTCAGTGTCACCAACAAGTGTAACCTGAGCCACTTGACCTCTGAACTTTAATTTTCAGATCTGTACAATGGGGATGAATACCACCACCTACTTCCAGGGAATGCTGGCGAATTCTAAGAGTGCTAACATATGTGAACACACTTAGTGCCTGGCACACGTAAGTGCCCAATAAGTGTTCACTGTAGTAGCACGGTGCAGTGGTATGTGCTTATATTCCCAGCTACTCGGGAGGCTAAGGCAGAAGAACACTTGAGCCCAGGAATTTGGGACCAGCCTGGGCAACATAGTAAGACCCTGCCTCTTAAAAAAAAAAAAAAAGTTCAATGTTTATTACTATCAGGAGGGAGCAAAAGGACACTGAAAGAAAGATGGTAGATCTTTGCAACCTAGAAGATAGTATGTCTCCCAGAGCTCCAAAACTAACAAGCCCTTCCCTACATAATGCACTCTGTGTCGCACCCCTAATGCCTGCCTCCAGTGTCGTCGGATCCTCATGGCAGCCCTCAGTCAGGAAACATGTCTCTGCTCCGAGGCCCAGAGGATGAAGTGACCTGCCCCAGGTTCACTGAGGGAGTTGGAGTGGTCTGAGACATGTTCCCCCATACCTGGCTGCTTCCACCCCAAGCTACTGACATACACAAGTTGCAGCTGGTTCTCAGGAGACATTTCTGGTCTGGCTGGGTGGCCCTGTGCACCTTGGAAAGCAAGTTCCATGTGCTCTGGCTGGTTGTTTTCAGATGCACGCTCCAAAGGAGTGGCTTTTAACTGAGGTGTCCCCAGAATCACCCAAGGAACCCCTTTCAAAAACTCCTACCACCACTACCAACTCCCAATAAGAGAGGGGCGGAGCCAGGAGCCCATCCATCTGTATTGGTTAAAAAAAACCACCACCACCATCACAAAAAACTCCTGGGTGATTCCAAGATATGATGAAGTTAAAAAGGGCTGCTCTAAAATGAGGATTTTGGCTGGGCACAGTGGCTCTCACCTGTAACCCCAGCACTTTGGGAGCCCAAGGTGGGAAAGTGGAAAACTGCTTGAGCCCAGGAGTTCCAGACCAGCCTGGGCAACACAGTGAGACCCCATCTCAACAAGTGAAATGAGAATTTTCAACTCTTCCTCCATCCCCATACGGCATATGGGAGTGACTGTGGTTTCTCATGGGGAATGGGAAGCAGGTGTCAAGGGTTCAGGTGCAGTGTAAGGAAAAAACCCAAAAAGATTCTCATTTACCCCATCCTGGCTGAGAAACACTGTTCCAAAGAGCAAGGCTTCATTCAGCCCAGGGAGCAGACAGTAAACTGACAACAGAGAAAACACACGTCAGCTCTGGGGCAGGTACAGGGGACTCCACTGATGGAAAAAGCTGGCCTGCTTATGAGTGGATGAAATCTTCACAGTGCTGTCAAAAATCAGCACACACACGTGACACACAAAGAAAAAATCAGTACTTCTGAATGGTTTATATGGCCTGACCCAATTTTGGTTAAAAAACCAAGATATCTCCCTGTCTCTATCAATCTTTCTATCAATCTACAGAAAATCACCCAGAAGGATTAATGCCTAAATGCTTAGAGTCATTACTGGGGTCAGGGAAAGGAGAAGGGAAATAATAGGTGATTTTTAAAATTACAATGTCCCAGTATTGACTATATTTTCCAATAATAAGCATAGGTAACTTGTACTTTTATTAAATTTTTTTTTTTTTTTTTGAGATGGAGTCTTGCCCTGTCCCCCAGGCTGGAGTGCAATGGCGCAATCTTGGCTCACTGCAACCTCTGCCTCCCAGGTTCAAGCGATTCTCCTACCTCAGCCTCCTGAGTAGCTGAGATTACAGGTGTGTGCCACCACACCCAGCTAATTTTTGTATTTTTAGTAGAGACATGGTTTCGACATGTTGGCCAGGCTGGTCTCGAACTCCTGACCTCAGATGATCCGCCCGCCTTGGCCTCCCAAAGTGCTGGAATTACAGGCATGAGCCACTGTGCCTGGCCTACTTTTATCAATTTTTAATTATACAAAATGCCAATATATTCTCCTTATTTAAAACATGTGTCACTTTGTCTACTCTCTGGCCCTAGGTCTCTCCCAGGAGAACTAATCACCACTGCCAATCTGATGTCTATGCCCCCGAGACCTTTTCTATCATTTATACACATATTTATACTTAAATACGTATGTTTGCTGTTTTGCATTTTTTTCACTCAACAATAGGCCTTGATGATCTGTCCACAACAGCCCACAGAGATCCAATGCATTGTTTTACACCTATAAATTTTAAAAAAATAAAATGAGTGAAGCTAATTTTATGAGGTCAGGGTAGAAAACACCCGGGAAATAGCTGGCCCCTGGCTCCCTTGGGGACAGCCCAGAATACCTGGCCAGCTGCCCTCTCTGTAGGCTCTTAGCACACCTGGTTTCTCCTCCTTGCACTCACCCAGAAAGCTTGTGTCCAGTGACTGAAGCCTGGCCACATCCCAGGCCCGCTTGATACCAATGTTGGGTAAGCTGAGGTCCACTTTCCCATTGCTGTGGGGTTGAAGCCGGAGGAATGTTCTCAAGTTCAAGGATACAGCCAGTGCTACCTATAGAATAAATGACAAAAGCAATAAGCCTGAGGGTGAGTGGCAAAGGGGCCAGGACCCACGTGCTAAGAAGAGAGCAAACATAAGCACAGAGGCCACTCCTAGCCATGCCCTTGCCAGACACTGCTAATCAACCTTGGCATGCTCTCCCACTAAGCCTGGGAACAGCCACCATCGATCAGCTAAAAGTTAAAATCCACTTTGCCTTCTGCCTGCAAAATTTCAGAGGTTCTCAATACCAAGGAATCACTTCCCCATAATCACCATGTTTTCAATGAGAAATATAAGAACATAAAGAATAGCAGTGAGAAGCCAGGTGTGGTGGCTCATATCTGTAATCCCAGCACTTTGGGAGGCCAAGGCAAGAGGATCACTTGAGCCCAGGAGTTTGAGACCAGCGTAGTGTCAGACCACGTCTCTACAGAAAAATAAAAGAAAAAAATTAGTGGGGCATGGTGGTACACACCTGTGGTCCCAGCTACTTGGGAGGCTGAGGTTGGAGGCTGCAGTGAGCCATGATCGCAAGATTGCACTCCGGTGACAGAGCAAGACTGTCTCAGGAAAAAAAAAAAAAAGCAGAGTGCAGCAGAGGTGGTTTCAGACAGACTTAGGTTCACACCAAGCTCTACCAAGGTATATAGGACTTGGATCAAGTTACCACTTCTCTCCTAAGCCTCAGTTTGCACATTTGTAAAATAGGATAATAAAAGGGTATGCCTTGGGGGTAGCTGTAAGGGTAAAATGAGATAATGGATGTTTTCAACTCCTTTGCTAGATCATCCTTCCAACTTCTAAATGTCTTAGTGCCCCGGAGCTCAGTTCTCAAACCTCTTTCCTTCTGCATCAAAGCTCACTCCTAGGTGATCTCATTCCACTCACAGGGCTTTATATTATAATCATCTTTTTGCTATCATACCGAGCGAGGCCCAAGAATCCCTTCAGTGGGCATAAGAAATCTTTTCCTTGCCTGGCTGGGGAGAACCTGATCTCTCTGATCTGCTCCCAAGCTGTGCCTCAGGGTGTCCTTTTACCTTCTTACAAAATTAGCATCAGGGAGAAGGGGTACCCAATCCTTAAAGGCTCTAACGGCTTTGTACCTTGCCATGTACCACGGCATGTTCTCCATGAAGGATGACTTTCCCCGGAGCAGACACCAGTAGGACTTCTGACAACATGGCTCCTGGGAATCCTAAAAGGGAAAGCCAATGAGAAGAGCAAAGATCTCTAGATGTCAGAACCAGCAGGAAGAGATCTTAGAACACCTAGTTCAAGCCCATCATAATAACAAAAAAGGTAGTTACCGTCCAGCACTTGCTACGTACCAGAAAGGCAATGCAGGAGTCAACTGGACACATCCAACAGATCTGGGTTCAAATGCCAGCTCTTCCACTCCCCAGTGATGTCATCTTAGTTAACTCACTTAAATGGCTAAGAACCTCGGTTTCCCCACACGTTATATGGAGAGAAAATAACCGTACCTACCTCGGTGGATGTTAGGAAGGTTAAATTAACGCAAGGGAAACACTTGGCGGTGTCTGGCACCTACTAATCATTCAATTACTGAGAGCTACTTATTACTGGCTCTGTTCTTCGTTTCAGCTTTTACAACTACTACTATTAAAGGTAGAAATTACATGAAATCATGGAGCAGAAAGAACTCTTTGCTGGACATTTAGGCTGTTTCCAATGTGTCACAATTATAAACAAGGCTGCAGAAAACACCCAGTACGCCTCGTTTTGCACACTTAAATGAGTATTTCTGCAGGACAGAGTCCTAGAAAGGAGCTTGCAGGGTCTATAGGTGTGTGCAATTTACACTTTTATACATAACGCAAAATTATCCTCCGCTTAAGGCTTTACGTAGATTACCTTACGCTAAGATTCAGGTGTACTATGAGCTAAGTACTATCGTGATCCCCATTTCTTAGAAAAACTGAGGCTCAGAGCGGGGAATCCCCTTGCTTGTCAAGCTCAAAATCACGACTGTCAGATTGAGGTCGCCGATCCCTCGGGGCAAGACTCTCAGAGCTGGGTAAACTGAGCCACAGAAGCTGGACGCCTGGCTCAGCGTCGTCCTGGGTCTAGGACCTCGCGCCGCCCGGCCGCCCGACCCCGGCCTCTCACCTGCCGCCGCCGCCGCCTCCCCGGCCGCCGCCCCTCCGCGCCGAAGCCGGAGCAGCTCCCCAACTCCCACAACCCAGAGCGCCCGTGCCTCAAGGGGAGGAGGCGTTGTACTTCAGGCCAGCCAATCAGAGCGCGCGAGCCCGGAGTACCTTTACCAATAGGCTTGAACATTGGTCAATAGGTGTTGCAGCCAAGCCGACACGGGTTTTCCCGCCCCGCTCCTTCCGTTAAACCAATGGGAAACAAGTCCCTGGGAGTGTCCCGCCCTGGGGTGAGAACTGCGAACCAATAAAAATTGAAACCTGAGCGGTGGCGCGGCCAGCTGTGGGTGGAGTCACCCCGCGGACTGGACGGGAACCTGGCGGGGTCAGGTCCCGTCAAGCAGCCTGGCTCATGGCTGTGTGCGGCCTGGGGAGCCGTCTTGGCCTGGGGAGCCGTCTTGGCCTGCGCGGGTGCTTCGGCGCCGCCAGGCTCCTGTATCCCCGTTTCCAGAGCCGCGGCCCTCAGGGCGTGGAAGACGGGGACAGGTGAGTGGCTGGCGGGAAGGGCAACTCGAACACCTGCCGTGAATCGTGGTGTCGTCGCCATGGGTACGTCACACCGCCGTGAGGTCACCGCGGCAACCGTCAGGTGACGTCTCCACGCTGTTCTGACGTCACCATGGCAACGTGGGCCACGTGGGCGCCAGAGACCAGGTAGTCTTTGCCTAAGTCCCAATGAAGTCCCGCTATCATCGGGCAGGGCAGGGCATATCCCATGTGGGCCAGGAGGGCTCTCGACTCAGATTGTGACCAATCTCCAAAGCAGTTTATTCCCCAGGTCCCAGATACACCAGCACCTTCTAAAGATGGCTTTCCTCATATTCCTTGAAACTTGCACCTCAACCCAGACCTCAGAACCTCTAGAGTACCGTGGATTAATAATGGATTAATTTAGTTCACAGATCCAGGAAATTAACCTTCGAATGGGCTTGTAATGTCACATTTTAATTTTGAGCTATGTCCTTGAGTTGTTTACATTGTTTTTTGAAAATGCCACTTTTTGAGCTGTATTTTGGCAATTCTTCATCTCTGAGTACACTCGAAGCCTCATACTATGGAAGTGGCTCAGGTTTCTTTTCCTGCAAGAGGCCCTGAGTTGGTGGAGTATAAGATAAAAATTTGGGTAGGATAGAGTTAAGAGTCCTAGCTACTTGGGAGGCTGAGGCAGAGGATCACTTGAGCTCAGGAGTTCAAGGCTGCAGTGAGCTATGATCATGCCACTGCACTGCATTCCAGCTTAGGCAACAGAGCAAGACCCTGTCTGTGAACAAAATAATCATAGGCCAGATACGGTGGCTCACGCCTGTAATCACAACACTTTGGGAGTTTGAGGCAGGAGTATTGCTTGAGCTCAGGAGTTCAAAACCAGCCTGAGCAACATGGTGAAACCCGTCTCTACCAAAAAAAAAAAAAAAAAAAAATTAGCTGGGTGTGGTGGTATACACCCGTGCTCCCAGCTGCTCGGGAGGCTGAGGTGGGAGGATTGTTTGAGCCTGGGAGGCAGAGGTTGCAGTGAGCCTAGATCGTGCAACTGCATTTCAGCCTGGGTGACAGAGTGAGACCCCATCTCAAAATAATAATAATAATAATAAATAAATAAATAATTTCGGTAGGATAGAAGTTACAGTTTGTGCTCTGGTCTAGGACAGTTTTGGGCATCCCACTCCTGCCTCTTCTTGGATGGTCTAGGAAGGTGTCTCATCTGAGCCATAGTTTCCTCCTCAGTAAAATGAAGAGAATAGGTGTTGGCTACCTTTGGGGTTGTGGAAAGATTCCAGGATAATTCCAGAAGATAATGCCTGTAAACTACTTGGCACAGTGCAGGGACAATGGCAAAGGATCAATCAAGTCCTTCAGCAAATATTTATTGAGCATCTTTGTTGAGCAAGGCATTACATCAGCTACTCTACACACTCTGTCATCCAGCTCTGGTCTTGCCCACAAAATGTTTGCTATTAGAAAGGATCTAGGGGAAAGAAATCAACAAGAGATGACCATCTAAGCAGTAAGGGGTAAGTGCTGCCTCTGAGGTTACAAGCAGCAAGCTGGGACCCTCTGAAGGAGCTGACCCTCTGTGTAAGCCATCCCCACTCACCAGATACTGATGTTTATTTCTCATTAGGCCACAGCCTTCCTCGAAGACACCCAGGATCCCCAAGATTTACACCAAAACGGGAGACAAAGGTAGGGTGGGGACAGGTGAAAAATGCAAAGAAATACTCATGGCATACACCATTTTAAAGTTCTTCCAAATTCTTTGCAGCCACTTTAAAGTATAATATACCAGGCGCGGTGGCTCATGCCTGTAATCCCGGCACTTTGGGAGGCCCTGTTGGGCTAATCATCTGAGGCCAGGAATTTGAGACTAGCCTGGCCAATGTGGTGAAACCCCATCTCTACTAAAAATACAAAAATTAGCTGAGTATGGTGGTCCATGCCTGTAACCCCAGCAGCTACTTGGGAGGCTGAGGCAGGAGAATTGCTTGAACTCGGGAGGCAGAGGTTGCAGTGAGCCAAGATCATGCCACTGCACTCCAGCCTGGGTGACAGAGCAAGACTCCATCTCAGAAAAAAAAAAAGTCTCAGAAAAAAAAAGTATGATATTTGACAGATCTCAAAATATGTTACAAAAATGTAATGTGAAATGAAAAACACCCAAGAGATATTAAATGACAAAAGCCTGAATCTGTCTGGATAAGCATGTACATATATGTGTGTTCAGGTGTGTGTAGAATAGTCTGAAAGGTTACACCTGGGACTGTTCTGGGAGAGAGATTAAGTTGTGAGAGGGGAACAAACAGAAGGACTTTCACTATTTACATACTTTTATTCTATTTTATTATTTTTTATAATGAGTATATATTACTTTAATAGTTTTTAAAATGCTAGAACATGTTATATAGAAAAAAGTAAGATGCAGAAGAATGCGTTGCTATGATCCTTTTTTTTTTTTTTTTTTGATACAGGGTTTTACTCTGTCACCCAGGCTGGAGTGCAGTGGCTCAGTCATGGCTCACAACAGCCTCCACCTTTCAGACTCAAGCAATCCTCCCACCTCAGCCTTCTGAGTATCTGGGACAACAGGCACACATCGCCATGCCTGGCTAATACTTTTTAATTTTTTTTGTAGAGATGAGGTCTTGCTGTGTTGCCCAGGCTGGTCTTGAACTGCTAGGCTCAAGGTATCCTCCCAGCTCAGCCTCCCAAAATGCTGGGATTACAGGAGGCATGAGCTACCGCACCAAGACAGTATACCATTTTTTGTAGTACAAAAGCATGCAGACCACTAGTATGTATTGTTTTTTGGATATATACTTGTATAGTAAAAGTATAAAAGCATGTACGGGACATACTCAGTGCCACTGAATGGTAAACTTAAGAAGGGTCAAAATGGTAAAATTTCTGTTATGTATCATCTGTTACCACAATTAAAAAGAAGGAAGAGGATGTTGGAAAGGACTTATTGTAGGGTTGGGCTTGTGTTGGGTGGTTACAAGGAAGTGGGGCTTTGTTCTGGATTGAATCCTGTTAGGAAGCAGGGCTGTTTCTGTCACTGGGTATCTTTTTTTGTTTTTTGAGACAGGGTCTAGTTCTGTTGCCCAGGCTGGAGTGCAGTGGCACGATCTCAGCTCACTGCAACCTCCTGGGTTCAAGCAATTCTTATGCCTCAGCCTCGCGAATAGCTGGGACTACAGGCATGCATCACCATGCCCAACTAATTTTTTCTGTTTTTAGTAGAGACGGGGATTTGCCATGTTGGCCAGGCTAGTCTCGAACTCCTGGCCTCAAGTGATCTGCCCACCATGGCCTCCCAAAGTCCTGGGATTACAGTGTGAGCCACTGCACCTGGCCTGTAATTGGGTATGTTAATAATTTGTTTCTAGAAGACAGAAGGGACAAAGAGGTGCTAACGCTGTAATGGATAAAGATGCAGCAGTCACTCACATTAGCCAGGGAAGGGGGAGGTTTGGTCATCTTTTGGAGTTTGGACACAGTCGTCTGTGCTCAGACGTTCTTCCGCAGTGGCCTTGTCTTGGTCTCGAACCGTCATAGTCATAGAGTGGCCTGTCTGATGGTTTTCTGTGAAATGGTTTGTGTTCAGCAGAACACCACAGTCTACCTGTGAGTGCCAGGCCGGCACCTGGCAACCCCAAAGCCTGCCCGATAGCGAAAGCCAGCTCCAAACTGTCAGGGGCAGTTTTCACTTTCTCAGAGGTTGGGGGAGAAAGGCGGGACTGTGAGCTAGGCAGAGGCACAGAGGACTTTGACTTCATGTGAAATATAATGGTAATGTATATATGATATAAAATATAGAACGTGTTGTATTTCTTTATCAGGATGGTTAGTATGTGGTTTTTAAGTTGAAAAGCACATCAGGAAAGAAGTGAGCATAGTGGCTAACCCTTGGGGAGTGGCAACTAAAAGGGGTTACATGGGGGCTTTCAGGGTGTTGCTCATGTTCTGTTTATGAAGCTAGGTGCTGATCAAGGAGGTATATTCAGTTAGTAGTAATTCACCAACTTGCACACTTACGATTTGAGCACTTTTCTGTGTATATGCTATATTTCAAGTTGAAAGTTCTTTAAGGGGTGGTACGGTGGCTCATGCCTGTAATCTCAGCACTTTGGGAGGCTGAGGCGGGTGAATCACTTGAGACCAGGAGTTCAAGACTAGCTCGGCCAACATGGGCGAAAACCCGTCTCTACTAAAAATACAAAAATTAGCCGGGCATGGTGGTACACACTTGTAATCCCAGCTACTTGGGAGACTGAGGCATGAGAATCACTTGAACCTGGGAGGGGGAGGCTGCAGTGAGCCAAGATCACGCCGCTGTACTCCAGCCTGGATGACAGAGTGACTGTTCAAAAAAGAGAAAGTTCTTTAAAATCTTTGAAAGTTTAAAAAAAAAAAAACAGCATATCAGGAAAACAGAATCTTAATTTGGGTGGCTAAACATTTTTTTCCACAGGGTTTTCTAGTACCTTCACAGGAGAAAGGAGACCCAAAGATGACCAAGTGTTTGAAGCCGTGGGAACTACAGATGAATTAAGTTCAGCTATTGGGTAAGGGGGACAGGATTGGCCTTGAGGTTGCGTTTGAGTCGAGTATGAGTAAACGTAATGAATGTGAAGCTCTCACGCATGCTGGGCAGCAGCCTCGGAGGTTGTCAGCCCTTATTGAACTTTCCTCAGCCCTGAAGCACAGGCTGGTCAGCTCCACAAGGCTGTGGGGCTGCAGACTCCTTTCCCTTCTGGCCCTGCCTGTGCCTGCGCTGGCCTCTGGCCCATGCCATGTGAAGCTGCCTCCCTCTCATCCCTCACTTTTCAGGTGAGCCTGTGTGTGCCACTGAGGTTAGTATACTGAGTGAAAGAGGTGAGTTAGTATAATGCACAGTACATCCAATGTGATCCCTTTTGTGACTGTTGTTTTTTACATAAGCCAAAGTTTAGAAGGTGGACTCAAGGATGGACCAGATCAGGATGGGCCAGGTCATGCTGTGATCACAGACAACCCCAAAATCTCCTGACTTATGACACCAAAGATGGACTTGCTGTTCCCACTTCATGCCCATCACAGGGTATATTCTTTGGCTCCATGCGGCCTTCATTCTGGGACACAGGCTGCTAGTACAGCTGCTGCCTGGGGCAATTATCAGTCATTGTGGCAGAGGGAAAAGAGGTCATGGTGAAGCTCACATTGGCTCCTGACGCTGCCAGGGGATTGTGCAGTGTCAGTGTTGTCGCCAGTGAGGTTTACCCAAGATGTGATTATTGCTGATTGAAAACTTTTCCCACTACCCCACCATGATGACTTGAAATATAGTCAACATTGGCAGTTTTTGACAGTCTTTATGGAGACTAAACTTTGTTGGTAAATAAAAGTTGAAAAAAAAATGACTAGGTGCAGCGGCTCACATGTCTAATCCCAGCGCTTTGGGAGGCCGAGGTGGGAGAATCACTTGAGCTCAGGAGTTTGAGACCAGCCTGAGCAACATAGCAAGACTTCATCTCTACTAAAAAGAAAAGTTAAAAAATTAGCCAGGCGTGGTGGTGCACACCTGTAGTCCCAGCTACTCAGAAAGCTGAGGCAGGAGGATCACTTGAGTCTGGGAGGTTGAGGCTGCAGTGAGCCATGATCGCACCACTGCACTCCAGTCTGGGTGACAGAGTACGACTCTGTCTCCAAAAGACAAACCTTTCTTGGGAATGATGCCTTCCATTTATTCACATTTCAGCGGCCAGAGCCTGTCACGTGCACATGCCTGACATCAGCGGGGTAGGAGGGGCAGCAAATATTTGCAAGCAGGAGCACAGTCTGCCCAGCATGCCCTACAGGCTGGTGACAGGGGGAGCAGCAACAGTCTCAGGTGCTGGATCCTGAAATCTGACCCCGGGGCCCTGGGGTTATAGGTGCATGGGAGCCAGACAGACCCAGCTGCAAATTTTCAGCACCGCTGCTGATTGTCTCTGGGACGTCAGGTAAATCACGTGGCCTCTGTGAGCCTCAGTTTACGGTTCTGTCAAGTAGTCATCATGATAATTCCCATCTCACTGTTCTTGTGGGGCTTAAATGAGATGATTCCATGTTTCACCCTGAGGACAGTGCCTAGCACAAGTAAAAATAATGTTAGCTATTATCACTCTTCTTTTTTTTTTTTTTCCGAGACGGAGTTTCGCGCTTGTTGCCCAGACTGGAGTGCAATGGTGTGATCTCGGCTCACTGCAACCTCTGCCTCCCGGGTTCAAGCGAGTCTCCTCATTATTACTATTCTTAACACTTACCTGTTCCTGGCTACCATTTCTCCATGGCGGGCCTGACTAGGTGAGATTTTCGGGACAGATAATGGGAGGTACAGATAGTCAGCCAGCCGGGTAGAGAAGGCAAACAAACCCCTTGGTGTGTGTGGGAGGGGGTCCAGAAGAGGGCAGACACAAGACCAAGTGGGCAAAGGGAGAAAAGGCCAGTTCTCGCATCAGCTATTCTAATGAGCTCTAAAACACGAGCCATCGTCTCTCAGTTGAGGAGGAGCGGGAGGTTGGAGAAACCTCAGTTGTGGATTCTTCCTTGGTCAGATATTGACCAAGCATCTGCAGTGCGAGGCGCTGCTCAACAGAGAACCTCAGCCCCGCCTTCCTGAGCTGCAGAGTGCAGGGAGCAGAACCTCAGCCCCACCTTCCTGAGCTGCAGAGTGCAGGGAGCAGGCAGCACTCACTGGGCAGCTACGAGGGTGGGAGCAGGCTTGGGGCAAGTGCCCAGGGTGGGGCCTGCCACTGGCCTGGTCACGGGGCATCCCTCGGCAAGCAGGTACTTCTGCACACCTCCTGTGAGGCAGGCATGGGGCATCCGCTATGATGGAGACAGACTGTGTCCCAGCCTGCACAGCCCTCCCTTTGGTCCAGAGGGGAAGACACACCAGACGGGAATCACATACTGGTGTGTTTAGTTCTAACTGTAAGATGTGCCAGGAAGATGGGCTGGATATTCTCCATTGGCCCTTTCAAATCCCTTCTCTTCACCTTCTCTTTATGCATGGGAGGCTGACCTTATCACCTGGTGGCTGTGCCACCTCGATTCGTTGGTCTTCTGGCATTCAGGTGGGTCCAGCCAGTGGGAGGCACCAGTAGGTGATAGGAGAGTGAGTGCAGAGAGCTCATGAGTGTGTGTGACCCTGTTCCCCAGTGGTGCATGGCTCTGGTGGCAGCTGGGCTCCCTACCTAACTCCCTCCCTGCTGAGTGACTCCAGAATTCAGCTCCCTCCAGGGTGAGTTGTACCTTCCCCGACCCTTGCCCTTCAGGCTCCTGCATTTCCCTGAAACTCTGCCCATACCTCTGTGAATTGTCCCTTCCCAAAGCCCTCCTCCAGGAATCCCTGCAGCGCGCCACTGTCTCCTGCTGGGGCACTGACTGGTGCAGGAGGGAAGTGCAGGGTTCTGAGGGAGGCAGAGCCAGGGTCCTGACCTGTGTCGGGGGGCAGTTTGCTTTCTCTGCCTTATGAGGGAAGTCCTCCCCAGCCTTCAAAGTCTCCCCTCCAGCATCACCTCCTCCAGGAAGCCCTCCCTGCCTCTCTAGCCAAGGTCAGATTAGGCTTCTATTGCTCTTTCCTTCAGAGCACTGATCTCAGTTTGCACCTTCACATTCAGGAGTATGTCTAATCTGATTACCTATCACACTCCTGAATATCACGCTCCTGAACATGAAGGTGTAAGCTTTGCCTGAAGTCCCAGAGACACTCAGCAGCGGTGCAGAATTTGCACCTGGGTCTGTCTGGTTCCCACTCACCTATCACCACAGGGCTGCGGGTCAGAGCTCAGGATCCAGCACTTGAGACTGTCACTGCTCACCCTGTCACCAACTTGCTGGAGAGAGCCTGGGTCAGCTTCTGTTCACCACTGACTCTCCTGGGCCTGGCCAGAGTAGCTGTTCAAAAGGAATTCTTGACTGGAAATAATGAGCATCCGAAAAGGCATTTCAAGAAACAAATACCACCGCCCCCAAATGGAAGGCTATAATGTTCTTATTGTTAGCAAGAAAAATAACATGGCTATTATAGCTAAATTAACTAAATGGCCTGCCACCTGAGAATCTATTGTTTATGGCAAGACAGGGCCTAGGGACATTACATTACAGGCAAATTCTTTTTCCTTTTTCTTCATAGGTTTGCTCTGGAATTAGTCACAGAAAAGGGCCATACATTTGCCGAAGAGCTTCAGAAAGTGAGTAACACCATCTCACCCAAGCTGGGAATCTTCAGCCCCGGTGGCCATCACGGGACTCAGCATCCAGCCACCAGTTACTCTTTGTGTCACCTGGGGCTAGTTACTCTCCCTCTGTGAGCTCCATTTCTTCATCTGTAAAATGCGGACAGGCCAGGTATGGTGGCTCACACCTGCAATCTCAGCTACTTGGGAGACTGAGGCAGGAAGATCACTTGAGGCCAGGAGCCTAGGTAACATAATAAGACCCTGACTCTACAAAATATTTGAAAATTAGCCAGGCATAGTGGTGAATGCCTGTAGCCTTAGCTACTCAGGAAACTGAGGTAGGAGGATCTCTTGAGCCCAGGAGGTCAAGGCTGCAGTGAGCTGTGATCATGCCACTGCACTCCTGCCTGGGCAAGAGATTGAGACCCTGTCTCAGGCCGAGCACCATGGTTCAATTAAGCCTGTAATCCCAGCACTTTGGGCGGCCAAGGTGGGAGCATCACTTCAAGCCAGGAGTTCAAGACCAGCCTGGGCAACTTAGGGAGACCCTGTCTCTACAAAAAAAAAAAAAAATTAAAAATTAGCCAAGTATGGTGGCATGCACCCATAGTCCCAGCAACTTACAAGGCTGAGGTGGGAGAATCGCTTGAGTCTTACAGGTTGAGGCTGCAGTGAGATGTGATTACACCACTGCACTGTAGCCTGGGCAACAGAGTGGGATCCTGTCTTTAAAAAAAAAAAAAAAAAAAAACCTCTGTCTCCAAAACAAACAACTGGAGACATATAATCTTCCTTCACAGGCGAGTGGGGAGGATTGTACTAAATGAGGGAATTTAAAATGCAACGGTTCTCAACCCAGGGCCATTCTGCCCCTCAGGGCCCGCTGAGCAATATCTGGAGACATTTTTGGTTGCCACATCTGGGTGTTGGGGGTGTTGCTGGCATGTAAATATCCTGCAATGCAGGGGACAGCCCCCGTCAACGAAGAATGACCCGGCCTTGAATGGCAATAGCACCGAGGCTGAGAAAGCCGGTGTGAAGTGCCTCGCTCATGCCCGATGCAGAGGGAACCTGGGAAGCCTAGCTGCAGTGAGCCCTCAGCCCGTGGGACTCATGCGTCACAGTGTCACTGTTCTGTTCCCTAAGAAGGAGGGGGCCTCTGACCCACGCAGAGAACTTCAAGCACGGAGACAGGGTCACCACCCCAGAATGCCCAGGGTGCCGCACTTTCCACCTCCACATGGACCCAGGTCCCCAGAAACCGCTCCCCGCAGGGTCAGCCCTTCCCACTTCCGTTCTGAAGCCCAGGCTGGAGCCTGCTCAGGCCCCTGGGAACAGACGGAGGGTAGTAGGTGGGGCTGCCACAGGCTGTGGCTGCAGGAGGAAGCCTCAGCTGCCAGAACATTCTGTGTGGTGGAGGAAGGCTTTCAACCTCCTGAGGAGCCGCGGTAGCAGCGGTCATTTCTGTCTGCTGTACGCGTTGGGTCGCAGCTGTCACGTCACCTCCTCAAGGGCCTTCCCTGGCCACCTAATCTCCAGCTGGGTTAGGCACTGCTCCTGGATTTCCACATCCTCTAACCACAGGCATCACAAGGGGTGTTAACCTGTTCACCCATCCACCTCCCACCCAGCCTTGGCACTGTGAGGGCGGGGACAGTGTCTGGTTCACCTGGGAGCCCCGCCTGGCCTGGTAGCCGCTCGCAGGGCCTGTGGATGAGGCCGGGCAGCAATGCCACTGCTTTCCTCATATCACCCATTTCACCCTCACAGACACCCGTGAGGTGGAAGTTAATGTCCACAGCTTATAGGGAGCCAAACTGAGCCTCAGAAAGGCTGACTTGCCCAGCCCCCACAGCCAGGCATCAGTAGAGCTGGAATCTGATTCCCAAACTGGTGCCATTTCTCCCCAGCCCTTGGGGTACACGCTGCACGTGGCCAACCAAGTGGGTAGTATTATCACTCCCGCTTTGACTGTGAAAGTGCAGAGACCCCAAGCAGGGAAGCAGCTTGCCCAAGGTCTGCTGGTCAGAAGCCCTGGGAAGGTTCCAGCCCAGTGCTGGATGGGCAGCCTCTGCTCTCACACACCATGGCCTGCTTCTTGAATGCTGTCACAGTGGCCATCTTAGGAGAGGTCAGAAGTCGCAGACCTTCACCCTCCTGGTAGCCCACCATCCAGCTTGAGTGGACCCTGGCTGGGCACAAAGTCAGAGGTGGTACTTGTGGTCTTCACATGCATGAGAGCTGTTGGACATTTGTCATGCAGGGGCCTGGAGTCCTGCAGCAGACCTTAACAGACCACTTCTGTTCCAAGCAAACCCACTCCCCACCTGGACAGAGCACAGGCCTCACCCAGCCAGGCTTCCTGCTCCCAGAATCCCCACACGCCTCGGCTGACTACATTCTCCAAGCTCCTTGTCCTTTAGAGTTTAGAAAGCACTGTCACATTTGACCTCTTGGCCCAACTGTTACAGGTTAGAAAACCAAAGCTGTCAAATGTTGAGAAAAGAAGAAAACCTCACAGGGCCTAGGTGCACAGGAGACGTGGACAGAGCCCAGACGGTTCCTCTTGACTGTCCCTGGGTGTGTGATGCGTGTCATCTGCTTAACCCAGCTGCTGCCCCCATGGGAGCCTTTTCCTCCCTCAGACTGCAAAAGAGCCACACCAGGTCCCCCTCAGCAGGGCTGGGTGTCCAACGAAGATGTTGTGCTGAAAGTTCAGAGTTTGCTTTCAAATGTCAGCCAGTTCAAGGTCTGATAGCCTGTATTAGTCTGTTCTCGCACTGCTATAAAGAACTACCTGAGACCGGATAATTTATAAAGAAAAGAAGTTTAATCTGCACATGGTTTTGTGGGCTGTACAGGCTTCTGCTTCTGGGGAGGCCTCAGGAAACCTACAGTCATGGCGGAAGGCAAAGGGGAAGCAGGTACATCTTCACATGGCTGATAGGAGAGAGAGAGTGTGAAGAGGGAGGTGCTACACACTTTCAAACAACCACATCTCATGAGAACTCTATCACAAGACAGCACTAGGGGGCTGGGGCTAAACCATTCAAAACTACCCCAATGATCCAATCACCTCCCACCAGGCCCCACCTCCAACTCTGGGGATCACAATTTAACATGAGATTTGGATGGGGACACATTGCCAAACCATATCACAGCCCTTCATGAGCTAGCTGGCACAGGCTTTGCCGGCGTATTAGGTGGCGCCTCTGCACATTGTCTCTGTCCAGCCCATCTCACATAGATCTTGACTGTCACTTTCTGTCGCCCCCCAGATCCAGTGCACATTGCAGGACGTCGGCTCGGCCCTGGCGACACCATGCTCCTCGGCCCGGGAGGCTCACTTAAGTAATTCTCAAACTCCTGTGGGTGTTCAGAGGGCCCTAGGGTCAGGGGACTCTCCTAGGGTCACCATCTGGGATCCCAGGCCCCCAGGGACCCACGGGTGGGTCAGTTAGCCTTGCTCGTAGCTCCTGGGAGGGAAGGTACCTTCTGAGCCAGTGGAAGCAGTCTGCGGGACACCCAGGTGGAAGGGCGGCGGGGGTGGTTCCCGCCATGGTCTGGTGGGTGATGGCCTCATGGCAGTTCCCTCTGCTCCTTGGCTCCTCAGAGTATACCACGTTCAAGGCGGGGCCCATCCTGGAGCTGGAGCAGTGGATCGACAAGTACACCAGCCAGCTCCCACCACTCACGGCCTTCATCCTGCCTGTAGGTACTGGGCAGGCTTAACCGGGGGCGGCTGCAGGCAGGTTCAGTGACAGACACACATGGGCTCTGAATAAATCCCTCTTTTCACAGTGACAGACGCTGTCCTCCAGTTCCCCAAGTCCCTCCAGGTCCTCACCGGTCCCTCCCAGCCCTGCCCACTCTGGAGCAGCGTGCCCGGTGGGTGTGCCGTGGCAGGGCTCCTGGAGGCAGAACACTGCCCGGTTTGGGGGGCAGGGCTGGACTTCAGAGGAGCTCCTGTCCGCAGTGGGCACACCTTTCCCACCCTGCTCAGGCAATGTCCCTTTCTCCTTTCAGTCGGGAGGCAAGATCAGCTCGGCGCTGCATTTCTGCCGGGCCGTGTGCCGCCGGGCCGAGAGACGGTAAGAGGGCTGGAGAGAGGGAGAGGGCCCAAGGGAGAGGGAGAGGAACAAGGGGGAGGGGGGAGGGAGAGGGAGAGGAGGACGGAGATGGGGAGAGGGAGAGGGGCCTCTGCACAGCGGGCAGGAGGCAGGTACAGCAGGGCCATCTCTGAGCCATCCAGCCACACATCAACAGACCTTGTCTGGGCCCCTCCACTGTGCCAGACGGGGACCAGGACAGACCAAGTCCCTGTCCTCAGAGCACCATGTTGTGAAGTGGAGACAGTGACATGTGACCAAATAGACTATCAGACAACACAATTGCACCTTGTTTGTGAGCCCTGTATTCTGAGAACAGCAGGAAGTTATTGCTGGGTTCTCAGCCTCAGCCATCTTGGGGACAGGGGTAGACATGAAAGGACCCTGCTGGCTGCTGGGTGCATAAGGCTCCTGAAAGGCCTGCATGGCTGTGGGGAGCCCAGGTGGACGTTGTCAGCAGACTAGCCACCACCTCCTCCAAAGCTACTGACAGCCTTTTCAAGGAATCTTTAGAAGAAAATGAGCAAAGTCTCTATCTACACCACTCAGAGACCAGGCTGCCAGCCAGCTTTACAGAGAAGAGAAAGCAAGCCCTACTTTGATCCAATGGACTGGCACTTTATGTTCATAATTTCATTTACTCCTTGTTGATAGCCCTGGGAGAGAGGTGGTGGTGGCCTCTGTTTTACAGGAGTCAGGAAGCTGTGGCTCAGAGAAATGACACCATGGTCACGGTCCCCCACATGGTTGATAGCAGAATCCAGATTGGAGTCCACGTCTGTCTGGGCCAAGCCTGAGCTCTTCCACGGTCCCACACCACTAAGGTTTTGTTCTTTATGAAAGGCTCTCGGGCCCAGATAGCTCCTTAGAGATCCCAGGTAACAGAACAAGCTTTGGCTTCAAAAGAAAAAACTGTCATTTGTACAAAGCCATCCATCAGCAGTGCTCATAATAGCAAGAAACTGGAAACAACCCAAAGGCCCCGAAAACAGGCATGGCGGAGCAGCTGATAGGTCCTCCATGCAGCAGAGAGTTACGCAGCCATGGCAGTGGCAAGGTGCAGATTGTCCTGAGGTGGGGACACACACCTGGGGCACCTCGGGTGAGGAAGCTCCTCGCTGAGCATGCGGTGCCCACTAGAGACAGCCTGGAGCTCTGTGACAGGCCTGGGTGCACACCCTCCTGGGCCGCTAGCCGGGTGCATGGCTTTGGGTGGGGATGAGAACCCTGAGGCTGGGCTTTGGGTAGCTGGCTTGCCAACAAGGGGTATGCCACAGGGTGATACCTGGGAAAGGCTCGGCAAGGGCCCGCCACCACACTGGTGCCCAGCAGATGGCCGTCCAGTGTCTAATGTATCTGCAAATAGACTGGCATGGACCCCAGGAATCCAGAATCCTGCGGAATCAGGAGCTTGGTCTGCCTGGGTCTTTTTCTCCCCTGTGAAGTTGTTCTAAGTCATGATGTACAAGGGGCTTAGAGTTTAGCCCATTGGGAATTAAGGGTCAGGCCCCCACTTCCTTTGAAGGCTAGAGGCAGACCACCCCAACTTCACCCCACCCAGACCCAGGTCCAGTGGTACAAAAGCTGGCTGGCTGGGGTGTGGTGTAGGCCAGGTGGCTCCCTCAACTCACCAGCCATCCTTGATCCCTCCTTGGCCAGGCCGTCCTGCGATGTGCTGGTGGAAAGGGGGCCGATGGCCTGTTTAAACCCACCTGTGATGGATTTGTCATCTCCACTGCCGGCCGAGCCTGTGCAGGTTCAGGTTGAGCGGTGGCAGGATGTGAAATGCTGCTCAAGGTTTAGGCCCAGGTCAGAGCCTGTTGAGCCCCATAATGTCACGTGACTCAGTGTCTCCTCCCTTTCTAGTGTGGTGCCTCTTGTCCAGATGGGAGAGACCGATGCGAACGTGGCCAAGTTCTTAAACAGGTACTCGCGTGGAACCTGGGGGTTCCTCTCTGAAAGCCGAGGCTCATCTGTGGGAAGTAGCAGCGGTGCAGCGGTCCGGGAAGCAGTGTGGGGCAGCATTCCCGCACCCCCTCCTTCATTCCCTTAGTGTTTATGAACATCTGCTCTGTGCCAGGCACCACGCCGGGCACAGGGGAGGCAGTGGTGAACAAGGTGGGCCCTGTGCCTGTCCCGATAAGATTTAGATCTTATTGGGAGAGGCTGCTGTAAAAACCAGGAAGAAAAACCTAAGTGCAAAGTGGCATTGCGGGGGCAAAGGGCGTTCTTAGAGGCTGGGTGCTCAGGGGAGGCCTCTCGGTGGTGACTGACCAGGGAGCCAGGCTTCAGGCCCTCTCTCAGCCAGTTTCCTGTCCCCGAGAGGGCCTGCGGCAGCATGAACCAACAAGAGAGCCGGGCCAAGCTGCGCTCAGGGGACCCCATGCAGGCCCCAGTGAGCCAGGCTAGCCCAGGGAGGGCTTCCTCTGCCTCGCGGCCGGCCCATGAGGCTGGAGCCACACCTGGCCCAAAGCCTGCTCTGCGGGTTCCTGCCCCAGCCCTGGCTTCTGTGGCATCAGTGTGGGCAAGGCCAGAGCCTGGGGGCAGGTAGAGAGCTGGGGGAGCAGGTCTGCACCCCAGGAGCTGTCCTGGGTGTCTAGAAAGTGACCTCAGGCCCTTGACTGTGGCCACTCCTCCCAGAGACATGGCGCTTTGACGGGTCCTGAGCAGCTCCTTTCCTTCTGGGAGGGGGGTTTCGCCGGGAGTGAGGAGCAGGTCTACTTCACCTTCAAAGCAGCAACCCTGCGGTCCCATAGCATTGCACGGGACAGGCCATTTCATCTCCTCAGTGAGGCTTCACAGAGCCAACAAGCAACAGGCACACCACTGCCCTCCAGGAGCATGCGGCCCAGGGGTAAAATACCCTGAACAACCTCCCCTTCGCTCTTCCTGAGAGCCAGCCGTGGGGCCCAGGGGGCCTGAGTCAGGGGAGGACTCAGGAGGATGTGGTGTGGAGCTGGCCTCTGAGGGCAAGACTGGGGCAGAGAGAGAGGGAGGAACGTGGTGCCTCGTGCTGGGAGTGAAACAGCAAAAGGTGCGGACAGCAGAAGGCAGAAGAGCTGACAGCGTAAGCGCCTTCTGGGGCCCGTGGCGTCGTCCTCTAGTTCCCTCCACTGCTGCCCCTGCAGAAGGCCTCATGCACAGATGACCATTGCTGTTGGTTCAAAGGAGGAGGCGGGAAAGGGGCTGGGCTCTGGTCTCTAGAGTGCTCCAGCCTGTGCTTCTCACCCGGTACCTTTGGCGATGTTTGGAGGCATTACTAGTTGTCACACTGGGTGCAGGGGTGCCACTGGCACCTGGTGGGTGGAGACCAAAGGTGCTGTCAGCATCCTACACTGCACAGGATGCACAGGACAGCCCCGAACACACAGAATGATCCAGAATGTCAGTAGGGCCTAGTCCAGCAGTGTCAGCATCAGCCAGGGCAGGAACTAGACCTGCAGAGCCCCGGGCCCAGCCCAGCCCAGCCCTCCTGAGTCAGAATCTGCACGTCGCTGAGATCCCCTGGTGATGCCTGTGCACACTGTAGTTTGGGAAACACCCAAACTGATCACGCACCTGAGCCCTGATCACTCAAAGGTGCAAAAACCGGCTCAGAGAGGAGTCCAAAGTCATCTGCCCCATGGGGTAGGGCCGGGGCAATGGCCTCATCCTGCAGGAATGGCCCCAGCCTTGACACTGGAGTAGAGTCCTTGGCATTCACAGCAGCTGGCCTCGTGTGCCATCCATTAAGTGCAAGATGGCTGGGCCCCCGCCCTCCCTGCACAATGTGCCCAGAGTGCGTCATTTATATCTCCTCCTTGTAGGCGGATATGGGAAGACCCAGTTAGCGTTGATCTCTCATTTCAAACCATTCTGTTTGCTTCTCTCTCTCTGCCCCTCCAGACTCAGTGACTATCTCTTCACGCTAGCCAGATATGCAGCCATGAAGGAGGGGAATCAAGAGAAAATATACATGAAAAATGACCCATCGGCCGAGTCTGAGGGACTCTGAAATCACAGAAAGTGGGAGCTTGGAGGATCCCTCCATGGCGATGGCCGTGGAGAGAGGAGCTTGCCCTTCTGGGGTCCTGGTTCCTGAAGAGCTCACCCAGAGAGGCTCAAAGCAGCCTTTTGTCCCAGCTCAGCTTTGATCTACACCTCTTGCCACCTTCCTCAAGGGACTGTGACCCTTTGGGGATTCTGTCCCTGACCCTGCTTCCCCAAGCTCTCCTGGGTCTTGGAGGGATGTGGGAATGAATTGGCATTGCAGGAAAGACAGGTAAAGTGATTGCTGCAATGAGAAGGAGCTGTGCGGAAAAGGAATAAAAGTTGGAAAGGCTGGAGCCGTGTGTGTGTGTGTGTGTGTGTGTGTGTGTGTGTGTGTGTGTGTGAGAGAGAGCCCTCCCACTGCCAGCTCAGGTTGTTCACAGATTTGGAATGGGACCAGAGGCCCTTGAAAATGTAATTGTGATTTACCTGTGCCAAAGGTGCTTTAAATGTCACATTTGTAAAGGGGAAGGCGGACAAGATTTGGAAGTTTAGTCACCTCTGAGCCACCCATCACCGCCAAAGTGTGGGGGAAGGATAGCTGCAGATTGACAGGCGAGGCTCAGAAACTCCTGGCTTAGATTGAAGTGTGTGTGATGGGGGTGCAGCTTAGAGGACCCCCTCTGAAAGGGATGGAGATGCTGATGAGAACAACACTACCACTTGAAGGTGAACATTCCCTGTCTGGTTGGACTGAGTCAAGGGTCTGCGGTGCAGCATCTTCAGCTTGAGAAAATGAGGTTGTCAGTTTCCAGCAAGGCTGACATCCACCAGACTGATTTCTCCGATGTTGCACTTGGCTGGCTTATGCCTCTGAGATCGGTGCCACGGCTGTATTTATTTCAGTTGTCACTGCTGCTCCCTCCTGCTATGAAACGACACTGCCAGTGCCAGCAGTGTCCTTGGGAAAGGCAATATTTATGAAGGGCAGAAGAGGCAGCCCCAAGAACCTAAAGACTGCAGGCTGCTAATTGCAGGAAATGACTTTGGAAGGGCAGGCTCTTGTCCAGTTTCAGGGCTGAAATGCCTGGCGAACTCCATTCAGCCATCACATATTGACTGAGTGGCTGCTTAGCATGGGCCACCGCGCTAGGCTCGGGACAGCTGGTCTTTCCGGCCATCTTTCTTGCTGGCAAGTCAGCAAACATTACCTTCTTAGTCACGTGCATATTTTTGCCTTCATTCTTACCACCTGGCCTGCAAAGTTTGCAGGAGGGCCAGGTATATTCACTTGTGTCTTCTGGGTCCTTTCATTGCTGACAGGCTGTGATGGCCCTCTTGAGCCTTGGGCAGGGTGGGTGAGGTGCAGATGACCAGGAGTGTGTGAATGCCTTCCAGGAGGTGGCTTTGTTCCGTGCCTCCCTGCCCCCATCGTCACTACCAGGTCTGGTACGGAGTCGGTGCTCAGTGTTTGCAAAACAGAGCTGAAAACGGACTTTGGGAGGCCGAGGCAGGCAGATCACCTGAGGTCAGGAGTTTGAGACCAGCCTGGTCAACATGGTAAAACCCCATTTCTGCTAAAAAAAAAAAAAAAAAAAAAAAATTAGCTGGGCATGGTGGCGGGTGCCTGTAATCCCAGCTATTCAGGAGGCTGAGGCAGGAGAATCACTTGAACCTACGAGGCAGAGGCTGCAGTGAGCCAAGATCGTGACACGACACTCCAGCCTGGCTGATAGAGTGAGACTCCGTCACAAAAAAAAAAAAAAAAAAAAAAAAACCCTGAAAACGCAATCACTAAGGCTCGGTCAGGGAGTATGTTCAAAGAGCTTGCAGCGAATCACTCAATTCTGTCTACACCTCAAAATCTCAAAATCTTCCTGGAATATATATATATATATAAAATAACACAGCAGCCCTGCATGCCTAGCCATGGGAAAGCACAGCCTCCAAAGGATAAGGAAAGCTTTTTGAGTAAATACAACATCCTAAAGTGACAATCTTTGAAACAAGGCCGTTCACCTGTTGCCAAGTCCTGTCCTTCCAGGACCGGGTGTCACAGCCTGGATGTTAACAGTCGCGTTCTCAGACCCCCGCCTCTGTATCTGTCTCCCGGTTCACCAGCAAACACTTCTCTGAGAAACCACCTGGGTGCAGGGCAGATGCCACCACTCAGCAGGTGTTTCTCTCCTGTGCTACCAACCTGGGAAAAATGGAGAAAGCTTGCTTTGGGGGCTGGAAGGATGGGGTGTTTAAAACATTTGCTCTTCTGCAGTGCCTTTCAAAAGCTCTATCAAGAGCCCGAGGCAAAAGAAAAGATGTGTACCCCTCTGTACACTGAGCAAATGTCCTCCCATATTTTGAACCAGGTGGGAAAAGTTAATGAAAGCCCTACAGTCAGGAAATGTGACTGCGAAGCCCCCGCTGCCCCAGTGTTTGCACACCACTGGCAACTCTCAGAAACAATCAGTCCCATTGCACGGGAACACGGGGTTTTGAAACAAACAGCAGCCTGTTTTTATTTAAAGTCGTGATCCCTTGCTTATCGTAGATTTTTTTCATAATTTGATTTTGGAAAATATTGCACACAAATACTACTCGATCCCTGAGTTTGTGGGCACTTCCTTACATTTTGCACCCATGAAAATGCCTCCTCCGCCTCCAGGTCAGGCTCCCTGGAATGGGGTGTTTAGTGTCATTTCCAGAGACAAGCTGGCAGTTGGCTCTTGTGTCAGAGAGAAGCCCACAGTCACAGTGACACCAGCCCGCACTGTGGAAGGGCTTGCTATGTGCAGTGCCCTGAGCCAAGTGTTCCACAGACATTATCTCATTTGAACCCCATAGCAGCCCTGGAAGGAGGCATTGGGTGGGGAACCAAGTTGTCCTGGGGAGTCAGTGCCAAGATGTGAGCCCCGGACGCGGCCTCGTCACTCACAGCCCCGTGCTCCTCAGCTCCCACCCACTGCCGCTTGACAGTCGTTTTAATCACTACCTGGGCTGTGGCGAACAATGCCAGGCTCTGATAGATCCTGCTGTCTCATTTCTCAACCTAGTTTCCCTTAACTAATATTTCATGGCTATCGTTAATGTGCGTTTTTCATCGAGTAATTTCCACAGCCCGAACTTGTAACACATCCCAATGACAAACGTCCCCAGTTCGGAAGCCCCCGTCAGTGGCAATGTCACCCTTGCTGCTGCCTCGACACCTTCCGACAGCCCATTCAGTTTTATGATCGCCCTGTCCCAGTGATCACTACTGAACCTTTAAGAATCCAGATGCATTTCAAGTTTAATTGAATAAAATTCTTTGTATAATAAATTCCGCATGAATGCTACATAAATCAGTGCCTGGAAGGATTTGTGGCTCATCCCTCCCCTCTGGCGGGGCCTGAGAATCTTCTGGCAATACTGACACAAGCTGGAATAAATGCATCTTTGCAGTCAGTCCAGCTAGAGGCAGGCGGCACAGTTTTAACTTGCCTTGGCCTATTGCTTTTCTTCTCTCAGAGTCCTCCTGGAAGATAGTGCTAAAGTCCAACAGAGGCAGGGACAGGCAGATTGCGGAGACCTAGAAACTTTGGGGACATCCCTCGTGTTCTCCCATTCCACAGAATCAGAAACTTCTCAAGCTGTGGTTTGTCACCTTTGGAATGCACACACACATATTCACAAGTTTGCATCCAGTCATAGGAAGTCCATGGAACCTCCCGGTAAGAATCCCTTTTCTAAGAGAACCCATGCGACCCTCTTCGGGAGCTAAGTCAGGATTCCCAAGGCTGCCTTCAGCAGCCTGTTTCAGGGTCAGATAGCTCCAGCCTGGAAGGGTGAGAAGATGCACTTGGGGCTGGCTGGGAGAGGCTGCTGGGTGACCTTTGATGCTTGTAGGGTTGTGGGGTGCAGGGAAGGACTGTCAAACAGCTGGCTTGGGCACTGGCCCCAGGCAGGCTCAGGTTCAAGGCCAGCTTTGTCACCTCCTGCCTTGGTGACTGGGCAAGTCATTCCATCTGTCTCGGTCTTGCTCCTCCACCTATAGAATGGGAATCATAACATCCACCCCATGGGTCACTGGGATTGTTTAATGAGGTAATACTTAAAAGAGTAATATTGCCCCCTGGCAAATATTAGCTCCTGTTATTACAGTTGTTTGCTATTACTACTACTATTTGAATTCAGATTCCATCTTTGTCACTTCCAGCATCTCCTTAAGCAAATGGTTTAACCACTCAAAGCCTCTTTATCTTTTATAATAGGATAATAATACCAATTTCCAAGAGTTCAGAAATAAGTCCACAGGCCCCAGACATGATAGCAGCTCCAAAAAATAGCTATTGTTGTTCAATCATATTTGACCCTTTTCAAAGCACGTTCTAAAAGCTCATCCCCAGGTGACGCTGAGGACAGCATGGCAGCACCTCTGGCCCCTCAGGCTTGCTGAGTGGGTGGGGGAGACAGGTGGCCTCCAGAGGTGGCCAGGCACAATCAGATGAGAAGATGGGGATGTGGCTCCAGGAACACAGGGCCAAAGTGAAAGTGAGAGTGAATTGCAGGACAATGAGAGCTGAACACGGTCTCAGACATCATTGCTCCCATTTTATAAATGAGGAAACTGAGGCCTGGAGAGGAGAACTATTTTTTTTTTTTTTTTGAGATGGAGTCTCACCCTGTCACCCAGGCTGGAGTGCAATGGCATGATCTCAGCTCACTGCAACCTCCACCTCCCGGGTTCAAGCGATTCTCCTGCCTCAGCCTCCTGAGTAGCTGGGATTACAGGCCCATGCTACCACACCCAGATAATTTTTTGTATCTTTAGTAGAGATGGGGTTTCACCATGTTGGCCAGGCTGGCCTCAAACTCCTGACCTCAGGTGATCTGCCCACCTCGGCCTCCCAAAGTGCTGGGATTACAGGTGTGAGCCACTGCGCCTGGCCTTTTTTTTTTTTTTTTTTGAGACCGAGTCTTGCTCTGTCACCCAGGCTGGAGTGCGATGGCGTGATCTCGGCTCAACTGCAACCTCCACCTCCTGGGTTCAAGTGATTCTCCGGCCTCAGCCTCCTGAGTAGCTGGGATTATAGGCATGCATCACGATGCCTGGCTAATTTTTTTTTGTATTTTTAGTAGAGACAAGGTTTCGCCATGTTAGCCAGGCTGGTCTCGAACTCCTGACCTCAAGTGATCCACCTGCCTTGGCCTCCCAAAGTGCTGAGATTATAGGCGTGAGCCACCTTGCCCAGCAGAGAGGAGAACTTAATAAGTACATCTTAATAAGGACCACACATAGAGCACTGATTATGTCCAGGCATCTTGCTAAGAACCTTACATTCAATAGTTCATTTAATTATGTCAAGAGCTCATGGAGGTGGAACTATTAATATTATCACCCCCAACTTACAGATGAGGAAACTGAGGCCCAGAGAGGAGATAGGAGTTTCTCAAGGTCAGACAGCTAGGAGGCAGAACCAGGCTTTAAATCAGGGCTCTGTGCCTCAAACACCATGACAGGCATTTCCTCAACACCTAGCTCTATGCTCAATTGTACTACAGTGCCAGGGTGTTCATGTCTTTCTAGTTCTCAGAACCCTACAAGGTACATACAATTATCCTCCCCATTTCACAGGTGAGGAAACGGGGGCTCCAAGGGTAAAGTCACTTGCTCAAAGTCACACAGTGTCCATGGGGGTGACACTGGGTATAATGATACTGTCAACAGCTGACACTTACTAAGCTCTCCTTACCACCAGAGCTTTTTAAACCATCTCAGCATAGCTAACCTTGGAGAGCACCTTCCTTGCATGCTTGGCATGTATTCCCCATAACAACCCCACCAAGTGGATGTTAGTACCTTTGCGTCATAGACTCAGAAACCGAGGCACAGGGAGACGGCACCTTGGCTGGTGTCACGCAGAGAGGAAGAAGTCCAACTTGGATTTGAACTCGGATCTGCCTGTCTCCAGCATGCTCCCTGTGGGCAGAGGCAAAGCCAAGACAAGGACCCTACTCTTCAGGTCCCCGTGGGGTGGCCGCCCTGGCACAGTTGGCAGTGAGGGCGTGACTGGCAATCAAGTGGGTCAGGGCTTCTTCTCTGGGGGAAGTGAAGGGACTACCAAAAACCTGGAAGAGGCTGGGTGCGGTGGCTCTTGCCTGTACTCCTGACATGTCGGGAGACCAAAGCGGGAGGATCACTTGAGGCCAGGAGTTTGAGATCAGCCTGGGCAACATAGTGAGACCCTGTTTCTTTAAAAAAAAAAAAAAAAAAAAAAGCCCAGGATTGATGTGCGCACCTGTAGTCCCAGCTACTCGAGACTGAGGTGAAAAGATCGCTTGAGCCCAGGAGCTTGAGGCCGAGTGAGCTGTGATCGTGCCCCTGCACTCCAGACCGGGCAACAAAGCGAGACCCTGTCTCAAAAACAAACCCCCAGGAGGAACTTAGTTGCCACAGCTACAAGTGTCCTCTCCGAGGAAGGGTAAGAAGCAAATGCCAATTCAAGGCAGCACGGGGCAAAGGCACCCTGGAGAACGGAGTACATAAGTAGCATGAAGGTGTCTAACTGACTCAGGACCCGAGCGGGGGGCAAGGTGACCTCTTCCCCCCGCCCCTCACTGCCGAAATGCCTCCCAGTGCAAGCTCCCAAGGCACCGGTCCTTCGGCTCTCATCACTGTCCATCTGCAGTGCCGATGGCCCTCACTGGTCAGCAGGTGCCTTTATTTACAATCACCTTGGAAGGGTCAAGCAGACATATGTTGCTAAGGGTCGTTTATTCTTGTTTATAAAATTTATGGCTTCACCTCGATTACACACTGTCAAAACAGAAAGGATTGGGCCCAAAGTCTCTTGCCGCATGACTGCCTCAGACGTGCGTACATCTGTTAACTCCGTGGGAGCTGTAGAGGGAAATAAGGTTCACTATAACTCAAAAGCTTGCTACCCTGCCACACGGTGTGAGCATCGGGCCTTGAGAAAAGACATCCAGGCGTGCACAGGGAGAGGGAGGAGGTAAGGGCTGCGAGTGGGCATGCCAGGTGGTCTCAGGACCCTGCCCCGGCCCGGCCAGGGACTCTCTCAAGGTGCTTTGACTGGGGAGTGGAAGAGAGAGAACTGTATTTCTATGGCCCTCGGGGGTCCAGCTGCAGGATCCCAGCAGCTGGAAAGAGTCCTGAGCCTATGGCTTTCCACCTGCTGACTTCAGCGGGGAGAGAGAAATGTTGACTCTCACGGTTGCAGGGAGTGGAGATCGGTATGAACTTTCAGGAGGGCAATTTGGCAATGTGCATGAAAGTCCTAGAGAGGTGTGTACCTTACAGTCCTGCAACTCTGTGTCTGAGAATTTTTGTGAAGGAAATAGACACATTGGTGGAGCTGCAAGAGTTTTTTTTTTTTTTTTTTGGCTTTTTTGTTTTTGTTTTTTCAGTGCAGGAAATAGTCACACTGGTGAAACTGCAAGGGTTTTTTGTTTTTGTTTTTGTTTTTTCCAGTGCAGAAAAGTGCTGCTCATTACAGTGAAAAATTGGAAGACAATGTCCAACAATAGGGAGCTGGATAATTAAATAAGTAAAATATTAACAATAAGGGACTGTAAGAAATACCATAAAGCCACTGAAAATGATGGTGTCTACATATTTACTTCTATGAAAGGGCGTTCACTATTATAAAGTGAAAAAAAAACCTAAATTGCAAAATGTTACATATAGAATGACCCAAATCCTAAAAAGAAACATACATGTGTTTATATACCATAGAAAAATGCATGTGTTACTAATATGTATCTCTCAGTGGTGGGAAGATGGGTGGTTTTAATGTTCATTTTCATTTCGTCTGGATTTTCTAATTTTTCTACAATGAATTTGGGCTGGATTTGACAAAAGGCTTACTGTGTAATACACATGAATGAAAGGAAACTGACAAGTGGTTTCTCTGCCTGTAAATAAACCATCTACCTCCCGTGGGATGGCTGGAGACTAGAGAGAAGCTTCTTAGAGGGTGATACTCCCTGATACATTCCAGCCCCCTCATGTGGGGAGGGTACCCTCCAGTAGCCAAAGCCATCAGGGAGCCCCGAAGTCTGGAAGCCTGGAGAATGTGCACCGTTTTCCCTGTCGGAGGCAGCTGGCTGTGCAGAGTCCAGCGTGCATGTAGAAGCCTGGCTTCCATTCTAGGGCAAAAGAGGTTGAAAGAAAAATGAACCTGCCTCCACTGAGCTGCCCCTGGGGGATCGCTGCGCCAGCTTTTCCCCACTATGTTGAGATGTTGGCATCTCTTCCTCCTCTGTTGGTTGCCCCATCTTTATCTTGTACAGGGGTTGAGAGTAGACAGAGAACCTTCATGTTTGTGATCTCATAGAGATTTTCATCCTGGATTATCACCCTAACTCTTCCTGGATAAGTGGCACCCCCATAGGTAGTGTGATGAGCCCAGTGTGCCAGTTAGCAAGTGGCAAAACCCACCTCAATCCCAGCCTCTGGTGTCAAAATCCAGTTTCCTTTCTCTTCTGTTCTGCTGAGAGCAGGGAAGGACTTATCCCAGGGGTAGGAAAGAGACACCAATTCCAAGTGATTGCCTGGCAGGCTGTGCTGGGTCCAGATTCAACAGGGAGGGGTTTGGGAATCCATTACTAATGTCTGCCGTGGCCTCTGGGAGAGGCAGCGGAGCGAGTGGCCTCTATTTGACATTTCTGATTCCTAGGGCAGAGCCCTCACAGATCTCAAAGGTGTGGGGACTTCAGAGGCACCTATGGTCTCCAGGCTGCTTGAGAGTGGTCAGGCTGTCCCTCTCAACCAGCCGCCAAAGCAAAAGCAGCTCTCCCAAGCCCACCGCTCCCCAAGAAAACTAGCTATCAGGAAGGGGATTTCTCAGAGCTTTCAGGCGACCCATCAGGGTCATTGATCTCTGAGAACCAAATACTTATAAATCTGACTAATTAATTAGCCCTGACGAGCTCACCACCATAACTCTGAATCTGTAATTACATTTCACATTAAAGCACGAAAAGTTAAGACTAAAGCCAGTGAGAAATGGTGTGACATCCCGCACCCCCACTCCATCCCCAGTCTAGGGACTGCAGCTCTGGAAACCACCTCCTTTTGATTGCGTTGTTCCCTGGGGTGCTGTTCCCAGCTGTGTGACAAACCAGTTCCAGCTCCCCTCCCCTGAAGTGGCTGCAAATATTTTGTACAGGGGACATTTTTGGGTTTAAAGTGCCCTGCAGCCAAAGACCACCAAGAACACACCTGTAGTCGAACAAAGTCAGATTTATTGTCTTGTTGCAATAAGGGAGCACGCGCACCGTGGGGAACCTGGGGTGCCTCAGGAAGAGGGTCTGTGCAAGGACTTATTATAGGGTTTTGGCGTGTGTTGGGGTTTGGGGGAGGGTTCAAGGAAACGTGGTTTCGCTGTGGGTTGGCTGCTGTCAGGGAGCAGGGCTATTTCTGTGATTGGGTATTTTAATAAATCTTACCTACAAGGAGGGAGGAATGAATGTGGCTAAACCTATAATTGAATACACCAGAGGGTCAGGCATGCATAGCCCCCAGCCTCGAGGAGCGGGCATCGGCTTGGGTGCCCCACCGTGCATGCATGCATGCGTGTGCGTGTGTACATGTGTGTGCGCGCGTACGCGCACATGCACCCAGGACGTGATCGAGTTCTCAGGATGGAACTCGATGATGCCTGCATGGCCGGCACTGCATGTATGACCTTGTTTGATCTCAGCAACCAGGGAAGAGTGATCATCCCAATTTTGCAAGCTTGGAAAGACGAAGTGACTTGCTCCAGGTCGTGATGAGAAAGTGGCTGAGGCTAGATTTGAATTCTAGTCTAGTTCTGGAATCTGAATCCTGATCACTGCCCTGGGGCCAGTGTGGGCAGGACGCCTCTTGTGGATATTTGCTGTTTGGGGACCCACCATCCAATTGCTTCAATTTCTTTTTGAGGATTTACTTCTTCCCATGGGATACAATCTCCATGGGGCTCTTTGTCTCATTTTCAACACACCAGAAATTATCTTATTGGTTTCTCCTTTGGTGTCTGTCTCTCTCAAAATACTCTGAATCCGGCTGGGTGTGGTGTCTCACACCTGTAATCCCAGCAGTTTGGGAGGCTGAGGCAGGAGGATCGCTTGAGCCCAGGAGTTCAACACCAGCCTGAGCAACATTGCAAAACTCTGTCTTTACAAAAAATACAAAAATTAGCCAGGTGTGGTGGCGTGCACCTGTAGTTCCAGCCACTCGGGAGGCTGAGGTGGGAGGATCACCTGAGCCCAGGAGGCAGAAGTTGCAGCGAGCCGAGATCGTGCCACATTGCCAGCCTGGGCAACAGAATGAGACTCAGTCTCAAGAACAACAAAATGAGATTGAATCCCAGTGCCTAGAACAGGCTGTGCACACAGCAGGTGCCCAAAAATATTTATTGAAATGAGTATGAAAGAATGAATGACATCAGTGCCTTGCCCAGTCTACTTCAATCCCTGAATTTTCTCTGAATTTCCCTAAAGACCCCTGCATGCACTGAGCGAGGATGGGTTGCTGGCTGGAGCTGGTTCATTCACGCCCACAGCATCCTAAAGAGACCCAGCTTCAGGCTGAACTGCACAGGTCCCCTGAACTGCCCTGGCTCCCATTCTGCTTGTGGCCTGGGCTTCCAGCCCTCAATACTGCCCAATACATTTCTTTTCTAAGTGAGGCAGAGCTGGCTTCTGTTGCCCTGGCTGATAAAGACCACTTCTGATGGTGGTTTGGTGCAGGTGGGCAGTTTCTAGCCATCCAGCTTTTGAGTTTGAACACTCGCTGGGATGAGCCACCCAGCCTATTCACCAGGGGCCCCTGTGATAGCAAACCAGGAGGGGAGACAGGAACTCTGGCCCCTGCTGCAGAGGCACTGGCGCATTCACCATCACTGTTAAGATGTTTGAGACCCTCCACACACCACCTAATGGAACCCGTTCCCAGATGCAGCCAAGGAGCCATGTTTGGAGTGGGCACTGATTCTGTCCCACTTGCAACTCTGCCTTAGCTGGTAGGGAGACAGGCTGCAGCCTGTTGGGACATGAATGATAAGCTAAGGAAGTCGTGGAGTCCCTGAAATTCCTCTGGCCTCCCTCTACCCGGTGAGCTTCCAAAGTGCAGGGTAGATCGGCCCTTTACTCAGCACACCCTGAAATCCAGCTCTGCCTTTCAGCTCTGTGCCTGGGGGGCAGCTGCTGCTCTGCAGCCTTGGGGAGACCAGGGCTCTAGGGTCCTGAAGAAGTCCTTTAAAATGCTGTGGGAACTCACTGGCAAAATGGGTGTGTCTGTCAGTTTGCAGCATCCCCGGCAAGGGTAAGTGGGACAAGCAGTGGAGGCAGCGGGCTCCAGATAAGGGACAGAGCAGCCCCTGGGGCTTGGCTCAAGCTGAGCCCTTTGCCTAGAATGTTCTCCCACCCCTCTTCTGCCTGCTCAAACCGAGTGAGGGCTCTGGAGTGTGGCAGACCAGGGTTTGAATCCTGGCTCTGCCACTTAACTGACTCTGGGGCCTTGGGCATGGGAATGACCAGCTCCTGACCTCAGCTTTCCCCACTTGAGTGGGCATCAGAATAGCACAGCACTAGATGCCAGGGACGCTGATCACAGGATGTGGCCATACACCTCCTCCTTGAATTAGTTCTGACTCTTTCCCACCAGAGAGTGAGCTCTGTAGGGCAGGGATCACGTCCACCGTGTGCACGGCTGTAACTCAGCACCCAGCCTGGGGCACAGGAGGCCCTGTGGGTCTGTTTGTTGGCTGAGTCTGAACTCCCTGGCAGTCTGGCTTCCTGGGCGGGGCCCGGCTCATCTGGCACCATCTGCAATGTGACAAAGCCACCCAGCAGACTTCACACCAAGCCCCACATGGGGTGTGCTCCCTCCCCTGGACAGTGTCCCTAGTGGGATGGGAGCAGGTCAGGAGAGTCAGTGGGACTAGCCCCTCTGGGAGACAGAAGGCTTCTGTCCAGGCCTCTGACGATCAGGGAAGGCAAGTGAGTGAGTGAGGTCACCTTCCTGGTCAAAGGCTTGGGCTTACATCCCAGTTCCTCATATCCTGGCTTTGAGTCCCTGGGCAAGTCACTCACTCCACCTCTCAGAGCCTCACCTATAAGAAGGAGAGAGCACTGCCCCTTCACAGGCAGGAGGAAGTGGGTAACAGATGGAAAAACATTTTGTTGACTGGGATCCACTGACCAAGTTTATTTCGCAAAATCTGTTGCCAAGATCGCTGTGCCCAGCCGACCAGCGTTATGGAGAAATACAGAGGCTGGTCAGGGTCTGCTGGGAAAAATACCTGAGTTTCTGTGTTTGAAGGCTGATGACCAGGAGCTCCCACAGCTGAGTAATTACCAGTAGCTTACCCCATGTGGCAGGGCAGGAATCCCCAGTGACACCCAAGAGTCCCGATGTATCCAGGCACACAGAGGGGACCACATGGAGTGCATGGGCTGGGGGGATCTGGGAGCCTTGGTCTGTGGTGGGAGATGCAGAGGCTGAGGGCCGACTTACCCAAGATTGTCAGTTAGAAGCTTTTCCTGGCTTTGTGGGGTGGCAGTGGCTCGGTTTTGACAGTTGATTTGGCGTCTCTGCTAGAACTGTACTTGCATGTTGCCAGGGCAGTTCTTCTGAAACACCCAGAGGCCTGCTCACCTTTGGCCTCATGGAGAAGCCCCGCCCCCCGCCCCACTTCACAAGATGTCTCAGGCCCCCCATACCTCTAGAACATTCCAGTCCACACCCATTCCCACCAGCACCCCAACTTCCCTCTCTCTCGCTCTGAGTGTCCACCTGTGGCAGCAACGTGGGCTGGGCAATGTCCGTCCATGGCCTGCTGGTGGCCACGTAAGGCCGTGTGTCCCTCCGGATGTCCACGTTTGGAGAATGAGAACTCTGTGTCTGGGAAGGGCTGCAGGGACCATACTCCAGGTTGTTTTGTTGTTATTGCTGGGGCCAGAAGAACCAGCTCGCTCTCTTCTTTAATGACCAGAGCTGTGGGCAGCTGCTTCCCAAACACACCCTGCAGTCTGAGGCTCAACCCTTAAGCCAGCACCCTCCAAGACAGAGGCCGACACCCCCTCAGGATGCTGCTAACATCTCGGGTGGCCCATCGTCTACATGTAGCTTGGGTACACTGCTAGGCTTGCTTTGAGAGGCCCGCTCCAACCCTCCTTATGGTACCATCTCTGGCTGTGGGCTAGTTTTTCCTGCTACCCCCCACTTTTTTTTTTTATTAGACAATCTAGCTCTGTCACCCAGGCTGGAGTGCAGTGGCGCAATCTCAGCTCACTGCAACCTTCTGCCGCCCGGGTTCAAGTGATTCTCCTGCCTCAGCCTCCAGAGTAGCTGAGACTACAGGTGCCTGCCACCATGCCGGGCTAATTTTTGTGTTTTTAGTAGAGACGAGGTTTCGCCATGTTGGCCAGGCTGGTCTCGAACTCCTGACTTCAAGTCATCCATCTGCCTCCGAAAGTGTTGGGATTACAGGCGTGAGCCACCACGCCCAGCCTCCTGCATCCTTCTTAAAGTGTGGCTCCTGGAGAGAAACAAAGGATCGATTCCAGGTAGGGTGTGAGCCACAGAGAACAGAATAGGACTATTACCTCCTTCACTCTAGACACTCTCCCACAATTAATGCAACCCCAAACCGTTAGGGCCTCAGCCGAGTCCTGCTGTGTTACCAGCCGCTGACCCCGTGCCGAGCCACTCCCCTGGAGCCTGTCTGCATGAGGCTGGTTTCTGGCACCTGGTGACAGGTCCGTGGATTATTCCAGTGAACATCATCTTGTCCAGCTCCACCTGTCACTCTACACTGTGGAGACTGTTTGGCTCCAGTGTCTGACACATCTGCAGTGTTCAGACAAGCCACACGCACACGCAGCCCTTCTGTATTTCCCGAGGCCTGAACAGTGGTGTTTCAGATTTTCAATCTGCCAACAATTTTTAAATCTGGAGATTTCACAGACATTGGAATTTGTGGCTTCTTTTGAAAAGTGGGGAGCCTGGCCACATGGTATCTAGCCTGGGCAGGGCGGCCAGCTGCTGGGGCTGAGCAGCAGCTGCCGGTTCCTGTGATGCCCACCAGCCCAAGTTCAAATCCTGGTTTGACCTCTTCCAAACATGTGACCTTGGGTGTGTGACAAATCTGTCTGGTCTCAAAATCTATACTAGTTTCCTGTGGCTGACGGAACAAAGCACCATAAACTCGGGGACTTAAGCAGCAGACATTCATCCTCTCACAATTCTAGAAGCTGTTAAGTCTGAAATCAAGAGATTCACAGGGTTGGTTCCTCTCCAGGCTGTGAAGGAGAATCTGTTCCTAGCCTCTCTCCTGGCTATGGGTGATGGCTGGAAGTCCCTGCGTTCCTTGGCCTGAAGGTTCCCCACTTGAGTCTCTGCCTCTGTCTTCACATGGCCGAGTCCTCTCTTTCTGTAAGGACACCAGTCACATCGGATTAGGGTCCCACCCTACTCCTATATGACCTCATCTGAACTAGTTACATCTACAACAACCCTATTTCCAAATAAGGCCACATGCTGAGGTAGTGGGGGTTAGGATGCATCTTTTTTGGGACAGAATTCAACCCATACACCATCTTGAGGACGGGATTAATAGTATGATCTCAGAGCTATTGAGAGGATTTGGTGACATATTCCAAGAAAAAGTGGCTGGCACCTGAGTAAATGTTAATTATGACTATTATTATTTCTACTACACTTTTGAGACAAGACATAAGCCAGGAAATGGCAAACAGGTTTAGCTTCCCAGGCCCATACCCATGGACTGCTGAAAGCAGCACATGAAGACACAGTGCAGGAATCAATTAGTAATGTCTGCCATGGGTGAGGAGGAGGCAGTGATGACACAGGCGCCAAATATTTCCCGTCCTTGAATAAGCAATTCTCCTTTTCACCCCCTCACCCTATGAGATTGTTTAGGATCTGTGAGCATGTGGTGGTTCATGGCATGAAGAATCACCTCCTGCCACACTTGCTCTGGAAGACAGTTGTAGTGGGTTGAATGGTGTCCCCCTGAACAATCTGTCCAAGTGCTAACCCCCAGAACCTGTGCATGGGACCTTTTTTGGAAACAGGTCTTTGTAGATGTAATTAAGGTAAGGACCACAAGATGAGATCATCTTGGGTGAGGGTGGGTCCTAATTCAAGGACAAGTCCTTCTAAGAGAAGGAGAAAGAGGAAGCCCTAGAGGGAAGACTATATGGGGATGGAGGCAGAGATGGGAGTGATACAGTTACAGCCAAGCACGCAGGGGCCACCAGAAGCTAGAAGAGGCAGGGCAGGCTTCTCCCCAGAGCCTCCAGAGGGAGTGCTGCCTGTGGGCACCTTGATTTCAGGCTTCTGGCCAGAACTGTCCGAGGAGAATACATTTCCGTTGTTTTAAGCCACCCGGCTTGTTGTGATTTGTTGCAGCAGCCATGGGAAACCAATATAGGAGCCAATGGAATTGTTTTAGAACAGCAATGAGAGTTACCTTCTGACCCAATACTCCACCCTGCCTGGCCCCAAGGCCAAGGAAGAAGGGGAGATAGCATTTACTGGGCAACTATAATTTGCCAGGTGCTTAACAGATGTGACCTCGTTTAATCCTCATGGCAGGCAGGAACTGTTATTCACTACTTTACAGCTGGGGAAAATGAATCTCCGAGAAGTGAAATGCTGCCTACTCTCAAGTCACTGAGGGTGGGTGTGGTGATCCGAGCTCAAGTACAGGTCCAAGGTCAAGGCCTGTGCCCTTGACCACTAGTCCACATTGCCCGTCACCGGCCTGGGTCACTGCTTGGTCTTCTGCGGCCTCTTTATCTGGGAACTGCTGTGTCTACAGCCCCTGCTGCCTGCAGGATCCTAGCCTGTCTCATCAGAGCTGACCAGACTAGTGAGGGGACCCTAGCTGAAGGCCACTCAGCCGCAGGCAGGTGGACCACGCTGGAACATGGTCTGAGGGATGCAGCAGTGGTTTGGCTAGAGGCCCCAGGAGCGCAAGGCTGCATAGCTGCAAGGATGGTGGACTCAGAGGCAGTTCATGGGGACGCTGGAGCCAGAGACGTGCAGAGAAGGGCTCATGTGGCCCAAGAGGAGGAGAGGACCACCTCAGCTCCCGCCCACCGCACTTCTTGCGTGGGTCCCAGAGCCGCTCTCATACCTCCTCACCACCTGCTCTGGCTCTGAGCTGGTCTGCCAGCTTCTGCTCTTTGCAACAGCACAAGTTCTGGCTACAACACACAAGTTCTGGCTACAATGTTCTTGTTGTAAAATAACTTGTCCCTCCCCAGCATAAGGCAGGCTAGTTTAGGACTCTGTGTGAGGGGCAGTCCTGGAAGGGCCAGAATGACTTCACAATAGCTTCTCTTTCACATGCCCGTGGTCTGAAGGCCAAGGACACTGGGTTTCCAGAACACTGAGTTTTTTAAACATCCATGTGCCATTCCGACAAGTGTCTTCCTTTACTCAGTGGCCACTGCCATGGCCCCATAAAAACCAGATTTAGAAGCATTTGGAGAAGGCAGCCTGACTGGTAACCCTGCACATAGGGGGCCCGGTGCAGTGAATGGCTCATGCCTGTAATCCCAGAACTTTGGGAGACCAAGGCAGGTGGATTGCTTGAGCCCAGGAGTTCAAGACCAGCGTGGGCAATATGGCAAAACCCTGTTTCTATAAAAAATACAAAATAAACTAGCCGGTTGTGGTGATGCACACTTGTGGTCCCAGCTACCTGGGAGGCTGAGGTGGGAGGATTGCTTGAGCCTCGGAGGCGGAGGTTGTAGTGAACCAAGATTGCGCCTGGGCAATCTTGATCCAGCCTGGGCAACACAGCAAGACCCTGTCTCAAAAAACAAACAAACAAAAACCAAAAATCCCCCACCCAAACCCTGCACATACATCTAGGCAGACTCAGGGCCTGGGGCAGCCAAGGAGCAGAAGACTTCGGCAGCAGAATGAACGCTTTCAGCTTCCTCTGCAGGATTCTCTGGGGTCAAGGAGGCAGGGCACATCTTCAGAGAGGTTTCTCTGTCGTTGCTGGTGGGCTCCAGCAGGCTGGCTCTCTCGGTGGAAGGTCTATAAGCTGACACAGACCCCATCCCAGTATGCCCAAGGCTTTGAGTCTCCCTACAGCTCAGAAAACACTTGGACTGTCACGGTAAGAAAAGCATGATGGAACTGCAACTGCTGGTCCCCGGGTGGAGGAGCTGCTGCCCCCAGTGCATAATGGAAGCTCGGGAATAGCTGGGGTGTGGGCACACAGGGAGCCTGCACACCAGGGGCTGAGCGAAGCCCAGCAGAGGATCCCCGGGATGTCCTGTTAACGTCAGCCAAAGCGTCTTGCAAGGAGTTTCAAAAACAAACTCCAGAAGGAATGTCAATTCGATCCCTGGAACAAAATAATGACAGTTATCACAGCCATGAGTCATTGATGGCTCATAGATGGCACAGACTGGGGCTTTTCAGCCCATTTCTCTGTGGTTCACGGCAAGACTGCATGGTGGGTGCTGCTATCCTCGTTTCATGGAAGAGGAAACTGCAGGTCTGAGGGGCCAGGAAACTTTCCACCGGCCTCCCAGATCGTGGGCGGCAGAGCTGGGGTTTGCACCCAGCGGCAGGATGCTCTGAGGCTCTTGCTCTCTCTAATGCCCTCGTAAGATCTGCACTCAGCTGGGGCTCTGGAGCACATGCTCTCAACAAGTGTAACAGTCAGGATGACTGCCGTGAAGCAAAGGATGCCATTCTGACCCCACGCTCCAGAGGGTGGTGAGAACTATGAATGCCGCCTAGGCTGCTGTGCAGTTTTGTTTTTGTGGGGTTTTTTTGTTTTTGAGACGGAGTCTCATTCTGTCACCCAAGCTGGAGTGCAGTGGTGTGATCTTGGCTCATTGCAACCTCCGCCTCCTGGGTTCAAGCAATTCTCCAGCCTCAGCCTCCCGAGTAGCTGGGACTACAGGTGTGCGCCACCACACCCAGGTCATTTTTGTATTTTTAGTAGAGACAGGGTTTCACCGTATTGGCCAGGATGGTCTGGAACTCCTGACCTCAGGGGATCTGCCCGCCTCAGCCTCCCAAAGTGTTCAGATTACAGGCATGAGCTACCGAGCCTGGCCATGCAGCTTCTTCTGAATCACAGTCCAAGCGATTGTATGTGCAGTGTAGGGGGCACAGTGAGGTGCCCTGAGGCCACAGGGGCCTGGAAACGCCTTGGCTGGATCCTTCTGGCTGAAAGGCACTTTGCTTCTGTTCTGTGCTACTCAGACGATTCCTCAGAGGCGGCAGTGTGGATGAGGGAATGTGACTTTCCTCCGATCTTGCCTAAGTGCAACAGATAACTGCTCTCCATCCAGCATCTCCTCACCCTGCTGGGATCATCAGCAGCAGCAGGAGCCACTCTGGAAGCTTAATCCGAGCCTGATCTCCAGGGTCATGGGCAGCCCTGTTTTCTTAAAGTGAAAGGTGAGGAAATGTAGGAAGAGGACTAACGGATGCGTACTTGGTGCCAGGTGCTGCGCTGGGTGCGTCATATGTAACTGCATTTAATCCTCACGTGCTCTGGAGGGGACATCAAGATTCCTGTGTTCTAGATAAGGAACACACAGGGAGGCTGCCCTCCACGTGGGGCAGGAAGTGGAGGGTTGGGGTTTGCTCACACATCTCTGCGATTCCAGAGCCCACGCTCTGCTTCTTGGAAAACAGCACTGAAGGAACCACTTCCACAGTTCTCCGGCCACTCTGGCCAATTTGATAAGTTTCCAGGAGATAAGCCTGAGGCTTAAGGGGGTCCTGGATTTACTCGCCAAGCTTGGCGAGAACCCAGCTGTCCAGACCCTATGGCTTTCAGCAGTGCCTTGTCTGCTAACAGGCTCTGCTGCTGTCAGAAGAGTGGAGGCCAGCGCTTCTCAAACTCTGTTCCAGCTAATTATTCTTAGGCACTTGCAAGTTCTGTCAGCATATTACAATTATATTTCCATTTAAATAATTTTAAAAACTCACTTATTTTTCCTGGTTATAAAGACATCCTTTCTCTTTGTAGTGATAACTTGTAAGTAAAAGCCAGAATGTTGGCCGGGCGCGGTGGCTCACGCCTGTAATCCCAGCACTTTGGGAGGCCGAGGCGGGGGGATCATGAGGTCAGATCAAGACCATCCTGGCTAACACGGTGAAACCCTGTCTCTCCTAAAAATACAAAAAATTAGCCAGGCAAGGTGGCGGGCACCTGTAGTCCCAGCTATGTGGGAGGCTGCGGCAGGAGAATGGTGTGAACCTGGGAGACGGAGCCTGCAGTGAGCTGAGATCGCGCCACTGCACTCCAACCTGGGCGACAGCGAGACTCCATCTCAAAAAAACAAAACAAAACAAAAGCCAGAATGTCACAGAATAAAGCTTTAGTTTTAGGTGGGTGTGCCTCACACTGGAGGCTGGCGATGTGTGTTTTGGGGAGGCAGGTGGTTACACTGTTTTTTCTTTTAGTTACATGAACGCTCCTTGTGAGGACGCCTGCGTGCATGAATTCTTCTTGGGTGTTGAGACATCTGACTTCCAGAGAGGCCACAAGCCTCTCCAGGGTTCTTTCCTGACTGGATCCTAACAAGCCAAGTTTGTGCTCTGATCCTCAGGGGCTTCCCAGGCCAGGGGAGCAGCGAGAAGCCACTGGGACTTCAGAGCTGCCGAGGGTCAGGACAGAAGCACCAAGGCGGGGCAAACACCTGGCAGGTCTGACCTGGGCTCCTGGTGCGGAGGAAACCTGGCTGGGGAATGCAGTGAGAACGGCTGCGTGTCCTGTGGGGAGACAGCAAGTGCAATCCTCACTAAGGGAACAACGCCTGGCACACCCAGAAGTAGCTGTAAAATTTCACTCCAGACACTTATCTGGGTTTGTTCAACATCCGTTGATCACTTTTGAAAGTTACTACTGGCTGGGCATGGTGGCTCATGCCAGTAATCTTAGCACTTTGGGAAGCCAAGGTGGGCGGATCACTTGAGCCCCTGAGTTCGCGACTGGTCTGGGTGACATGGCAAAACCCCATCTCAAAAAAACAAAAAAAGAATATTACTGTGTAAAACATGGACTGCAAAGATATACACCCAACCTATGGTGACAGCTGCCTCTGGGAAGTGGGTGAGAGGGATGGGCCCATAGAGGGTGCTCATCTGAAATGTGTTACTTCTTGAAACACAATTGGAAGCAAATAGGACAGACTGCCAACATCCCTGAACTCTGGCTGGGGAGATGAGGACATGTGCTCTGCGCCCCTCCACATCTTCCCTCCATTGTGGAAGCCTACATGCTCCCTAAGCCCAGATACCCAAGTGTGAACGGTCCAGGCATATGGCGGAATGAAATGCAGAACGCAGCCATCATATGCTGAAGTACAAATTTAATAAAGCCTTTGATCACATCTCAATCCATAAGTTAGCTACAAAAACAAAAAATCCTACAACTTTTTAGAGCCATCAAGAGCCATCAAGGTGTCAGTGAACACCAGTTACAAAAGGAGATTCAGTGTTTCAGATAGTGCAATATTTCCAGCTGCTGAAAAGAATTTAAATGAAATTACAAACTACCCCTCCTTGTCAAAAATCCACATGAAGTTGATATTGGTGCTTATAAATCACTCTCTCCCAGTCCCTCACTGGTTCCAACCTTCAGGTGATAAAAATTAGGATGGGATCCATCTTCCCTGTGCTGACAGTCTGGGGTCCCCGCATGTATGCACGAACCCGCCCAGCGTGCGCACACACGTTCAGAAGAAATCTTCAAAGGAACCGAGCGTTTGGAGAAAGTGGCAAGTCCACAGAATCAGAGGTTACGAACACACCTTCAATAATATTAATACATTCCTGTCTTTAAATTCCTTGCCATGTTTCCATCAAAGTAGAGCACACACTCTTTTCCAGAAGCCTGGGGGCTCGACCTGGGTGGGACACCAGGATGCAGCTGAAACTCTGAAGGACTGTGGAGACGGGTGGCCCCTGCTTTGCTGCCACTGTGACAGCTCTTGTTGGAAAATGTTTTGCGTCTTTGAGGAGAGCAGAGGAGGGACTGGGCCTTCCTGGCTTCGAATCCGGCATCAACCTTGGTGGTGCAGGTGCAGGAGCATGAGGTGGGAGAGGGTGGGTGGCTGTCAACACAGACCACAAACAGGGCCTCTGCCTCAGTTCCCTGGAGCTAAAGTTCTTACAACAAAGGTAAAGAATGAGGGCAGAGGAACACAATGGGTTGGAAGAGAAATGAAGTTTAAAAAAAAAACAAAAAACCCAGAGGGTGTGAGCCTCTGTCAGTGCAACGGGCTTCCGGGTTCCCTGTGCTGAGGAAGGATGGGCAGCAAGACCCAAGTTTCCTGGGATTTTGCAGACTCAGGAGTGAAGCCACCGCCCAGATGGGATGTGTACCTTAGGTTAGTGTTTGTTCCTCATTAGATAACCAGTGAGACAAATAAGCAGGGTCAAAGGCAGCCGTCCTCCGCGGGACAAGCAGGCTTTGGGGAACAGGCAGCACATTCTGGAAACGGGGCTGCTGCTAAGGGCCGTTGTTTTTCTTCCCCCAAACCAGGATGCCAATGTGAATGCATAGGACGGGAATAGGTCCGGGAAGACTCTCTGGCAGCTCAGCCCGCTGAGGACGCAGAAAATGGGAGGGCCGCGGCGTGGAGCGCGTGGCTTCAAGGCAGGAGCAGCGCCTTGGACTCACGGTGTCCATAGCGTCCCTAGCAGGCGCCTGCGCTTCCCTGGGCAGCAGATGGGCCTGGCTGTCTGGGAAGAGGCGCTGTGGACGGCATGGAGGCAGAAACTTTGTGGGGTGCATAGAGGCTTGGCGAGGCCTTACCTGAGTAAGAGATTTCAGAAACGGAAGGAGAGGATCTCACGCACAGTAGGCTTTGTACACTCAACCCATGCTGCAAAAACCACTCTAGACTCTTGGAACTCCTGGGACTTGTTCATACACAGCTCACTCAGACGGCTAAGGAAAGACAGACTCCCAAAAGATCAAACTAGCTAAAAGAAGCCCCTCTGCCATCACCAGGAAGAATGGACCCGTGTTGGTGGAATCTGGAGGTTTATTTTCTGCAGCCCTGTGCCTTGGGCATCACCTGGAGATGCTGTGTAGTGCTGTCGTGGGCGTCTAAATTTCTTGAGGCCACAAGGAGTCTCATGGCTATAGAGAGGGTCTAGGGGCCAATGTCACCTGGCATGTTGGTCACATTCCCAGGACCACACTGCCTCTGGGAGCTGAAGGTCCCTGGCAGCCCAGGAGCCCTGGAGGCAGGGCTGGGACAGGAGCTAGGAGAGTTCAAAGCCCGTGTTCATGCTGATGGCGTAGCGCAGCTTCTCGCGGAGGACGCTCTTCTTGCTGTAGTTGGGCAGCTTGAGCAGGTTGAAGCAGGTGGAGGAGGTGGGCAGGCGGCCGCCTGGCTCCCGCTTGCGGATGGTGAAGAAGCCCCGGAGGACGCTGCCCAGAGTGTCCCCGGTGTCCTGAAGGCACACATCGTGGCCTTGAATTGGGAAGGGCCTAGTTTGGGAGCCCAGGCTGATGCCAAGGCCAGGGAGCCCAGGGAGGGGATCTGGCCAGTCCCTGGATGCTGGGCAGAGTGCAGGGCGCTGCCCTGGCACCACTACCCGAGGTCAAGCCCCAGACACAAGACGACTGGCTTCCAGAGAAGGAACCCCTTCTCCCTGGGGCCTGCACAGAGAATTCCTGCACTAAGTAAGCTTTTGGAAATGGGGCCTTCCGGTTCACAGCGAATTACTGGTTAACCAATTGACAAAAAGTAGAATGCTGTAAAAACTGTTAGGTGCCCAAACATTTCTGAATGCACTCCTCCCTCCTCACCGGTGCTGTGGCCGGTGGCAGACCATGACTTGGGCCAACTTTCCCTTAAGCATGGAGGCCGAGGACTGTGTAGCTTCCTGTACAAGGTGGCATCACGGGCTCAAACTGCATCATGAGAGGCAGCTACACCCAGAGGCGGCCACTGGGTTTTTATGGGGAGTAGGACTCTCATTTGAGCACCCACAGTGGGCCAGGCTTGAGACACACAGAGCTCCGTAACCCTGAAGGCTTTCCTTCTCCTTTGGCCAATGAGGAAATGAAGCAGCGAGCCTGGACGTGCACAGCCTGCTGGGGTAGGAGTAGCATTCGAGTCTGCGCCTGCCTGCCTCCTGAGCCCACTCTCTCACTTTCTCCCATGCTGCCTCAGATCTGGAGCCCTGGTGAGGCCAGACGCCACTAAAAACAGCACGTACCCACCCCCACTCCAGGTACCCTTCCCTGAGGAAGGAAAGAGAAAGGGGCTGCCGAGAGAGGGCTGAGTCCGTGGGCAGTCTCTCTGGGGCTGGCTGGTTCTCCTGCCGTGAGAACTGTGGGGCCCTCCTCACTTGGCTCTGAGGGGTCCAGCTGCCTGCCTTGCTGAGATATGGACTAGATAAGGGCCTTGCACAGTGGGCACAGCAGACAACCACCAAGAGGGAAGTCAAGGCTCTTCCCCACCCACCCCGTGGGGGTACCTGATCGTCCGACACCTCCACGCAGCGGATGGAGAATGGAGGCTTGAGGTAGGCGAATCCCAGGAGCGGGGGTCTGGAGCAGCTGGTCACGAACTGCAACACAAAGCAGGGTCAGTGGGGACGGGGCAGGCTCCTGCTCTTCCAGGACGGGCCCTTGCAGCTGTGTAGCACGTGTTTGCTCTGTCTGTTACCGTGTTGTAACTGCTGTCTAGCCAGCCGTATGGAGTGGCGGGGTGGATCTGGCCCCAAAACTGGCACACGCCGTACATCTCTCTCAAGGGTGCTGCTCTCGGGGACTAAGACACATGAAACCCATACCCAATAGGTGCGACTGGCCACTTGTGAGAGCACGTGTGACTGCAGAGTAGGAACAGCACAAATGCCCAGCCAGGGCACTGGTGAGGCGTCCCCGAGAGGCAGGTCTCCTGTGGGATTGTTAAGAGGAACAGAGCAGCAGCTGACACCCTCCCACAGAGAGACCATGTGAGGAGAAAATGGGAGACGGTGAGGGCGAGGCGGAGGCTGGTGGCACCCACTGCACGTGGTGCGAACAGAGGGAGCCCGGGAGACCCGCACTCACTGGCCTTGCACTTGGCATCCTGCCGGCTCCTTATTCATGCAGAGGGGACTGCACAGGTGCAGTCACCTGAGCCCTGGGCCTGCTGATTTAGAGTGGTCTATGTGCTGGGGCCCCGGGGGACCCTGTGCAAGAGACTAATAACCTCTCAGCACACTGACAAAAATGAGGCCCCAGAGCCAGTGAGGCTGCAGAGCAGGCTGAGGTGCCGGCAGCCCAAGTGGGGCCTGTGGGCAGCCAGCCACACTTCCCTGCTACCCCCTGGGAACTCCCGGCGTTCTCCAAGCGGCAGCCCCTGCGTTATTCCTGCAAATGTGCTAGCTCGTGCCTGGAGAGAGGCATCTGACCAGCCTGGAAATCTAAGTGATAAACTTGCACAGGAGTGTCCCAAGAAACCATTCACTTTAACTCAACAGTAGCCAAGAATGTTCTCCCTTCTCTAGGGGATACAGGGGCTTGTCACTTACATCATCAAGCTGTCCTCCAAAACTCAGGGGCAATTTGAGGGTTTGGGTCTGTTATAAATGGTTCTGAGATTCCTGAGACCATCCAAAGACAGTTTATGTGTGTCGGGCATCAAAAAAAGTTTTAAAAAGAGTATTAACAAGATCTATTCCTATTCTAACATGTTTTATTTATAAAAACCATAGCAGCATCAATGCAGGAAGCATTTTTGTGTTTCCACACTGTGACGAGCATTCCCTGAATGCAACCTCATCCAATCACTCTACGGATGCTGTGTGTCGGGGCTGTGGTTAGTCCTGTTTTAAGAATAAGGGGACAGACACAGAAGTATCTGTGCATCCCAATTTAGGCCGGCTCAGGTCTGCCCGCTGCAAATTCAGGTGGGTGAAAGGAGGGAGGGAAGCTTTCCCGCTCCTGCGAGCGGGGAGGGGCGGAGGACACAGGAAACCCCTGGATGCTCTGCTTGCTTTACATTTAAGAGAAGCATGGTCGTGGTCACATCCACTCCTGGGCAAGGGTTACATTTCTTCTGCTTGGCTCTGGGGCCTGTATGCAGCTGCACAAAAGGGCAGGCACATGGTAAGGAACTGTAGGTTTGGTGACAGGTTATCCAAAGGCACAAACACACCTGTTTTGTGGGGCAGCACCTGCACAATGATGAGACACTGGTTTTCCTCTGTAGGAGGGGCCAGCGTGAGCCGTTTTATAGCTTGGCAGAAACTGCTTTGCCCATGAGGCACTTCTGGGAAAACTGAACTGATTCTCCCAGAATCAACTTCTGGAATTCTGTCTGCCTGCCCATCCTAAATCCCCGGAGACCTGTGGGGATGTGGGGCATTTGTGTTATCTGCTGGACTGCGTGAGGGCCTCTTCAACAGGAATAAACTCTCCTCAGAATGACCACCCAGGAGAGAGGAAACCAGCTGTCATTTTAATTGCCAGTGACACTGTCCAGGTTGCCTCAACAGATGAGGCCACATGAGATTGTTCAAGCCCAAACCTCCAAAAGAAAACATTTCAAGGCACTAAATTTACCACCAGAACATGGCAAAATGTTCATTGATATTCTGTCAAGTAGGAAGGCTGGTGGGAAATGATAGGATCCCATTTTTAGAGAAATATACACATATATAACACATACACAGAGAAGCGTGTGTGCCATTCAGCGTCCTAGGAAATACTTACACACTGCTGATGTCAGTAACAAAAAACAATGCAATGGCATTAGGGGAATATTTTGAACATTTACAACTTTTACAGACACCATAACTGGGGAACCAGTTAACGTCAGCCACTTTATTTGCAAAAATACATCTTGATATCAGCCTAAGCAATTGTGTGTGTTTTATTGGGACACTGTGGGTGTGTATGTGTGTCTTACGCTATTGAGAAAATGGGTATAGAGAGACAGTCCCTGGTGAGTAGGAGTGTAGAGAGTTGACAATTCCATACTGGAGGAACAGCAATTGTTTAATATTTTGCTTATCTGTATTTTCCTAAGGTAAGGTTCCAAGCAGAGGGTCATTTACTTCTATAATGAAAGGAAATAAAGAAAAAAGATGTTATCAAGGCCAGCATAGGCAAAGGGGAGGACGGAGTGCCGAGCACAACAGGTATGCCCACCTGTGCAGGGGGCCTGTCCCTGCAGCCAGGGACACACAGCAGGCTCGGCCGTGCCCCTCAAGCCCCTCTCTGGTTACTGCTTGGCCTACCGGGAGGCCTGCCTGTGGGAGAGGATGTGCTGACTATCTGAGGTCCTCCTGATAATTTCAGTTTCTTCAGCGTAAATTATTACATCAACTGGCCTTCCAGGTTTATGAGAATACATGCATGCATGCATAGGTAATAAATAAAATACCTTCAGAAACATAGCTCTCTCATCCGGTGTGAAGTCGGAGGCCAGAATATCCCAGAGCCAGATGATGACTCTGTGACTTCCATGGAAACCACCGTAGTAGACTGTGTGCTTCCTGAAAGCAATACAGACCTGGGCTCAGCAATGTGCTAGCGTGGGCACTTATGGACAGGCAGGCAGGTCATGCAGACAGCTGGCACGGTCCACTCTGGCAGGCCTGGGGAACACTACTAATTTCTCTTAAAGCCAGAAGTTCATGCCTCAATAACTCTATCTCCCTGGGAAGCTAAAAGGGTGGGGAATTTGAGAGCTGGCCCTGCTGTTCCCAAGCAGAGGCCAGCCCCAGATCCTCTGACCCCATCTCCTAGAGCTTCAGAGAACCCCCAGTCCTCAGGCCTGCTTCCACTTCTTAATCTCTAGGCAGACAAGTGGTCAAGCTTTTAATCCAAAGCAGTCTAGCCAGTCCAGGGAGGAGAAGGAGATCTGGAGACAGGCTCCTAAAACAACTCTCTAAAAGGAACCCAGCGAGGGAGCAGCTGGCTTTCTGGGAGGCCAAGGAATTTCACCCTTCCCCCCACCCGCCTCTTACTTTAAATCTTCCAGATCAATCTCAGCATTGTCGCCAGAGATGAGACGCTGCAGTTCAGGAGTTGAGAACATTCGGATCCACTCGGGTTTGATAATGGAACGGAATCCGCTAATGAGGGCAGCTGTTTGGTTTTTTATTTGAGTGTGCATTCGAAAATGTGCCATCAGATGGATGTAGCTAATTCTGTTGCCAACAAGGAAGAGATAACAATGACAATTAACAGGACGGGGCAGGCTGTCACCAATGGGCTGAAAGACAGTCTAGTCATTTCTGAACCATTTTACAAAAAACACAAATAGTACCAGAGTGTTTCATCAGAACAATGACAATGGCGACAATGACGACAGCACTCACGAACTGCACACCATACGCCACTGTGTGCACATCAAGCCTTTGAGGGCACTGCATCATTCACTCCTCCCCAAAACCCATAGGTCACACCTCGGGGTAAGCCCCCACTATGTCGGGAATCACAAGGAGACATTCCCCACGTAAGAAGAGGGCCCTTCTTAGTACAAAGGGTGCTTTTTGGACTTTCATTTAATCTCATTCTTCTGGACATAAATCAATTAAGATACCATTCAGTCCTCTAATAAGTTTTAAAATAGAAAAAAATTGTTTCATGTCAAAACTTTAATCAAAACCTTGCTAATCTGGATCAACAGTCTAATGCTATGGCAAGGCGGACCTGCAGATGCTTTAAACACGCAGCTGGGCTAGGAGTGGACTCAACTGGGAAGTCAGAGCAACTTACAATGGTTCCAAGCAGAGGGTCTCTGGGTCTGCTGTGATGAACACAGTGCCCTCAACTACAACTGCATAAAGCATATAATCCTCTCAACAGGTTACATACATTCCAACAGGCTTGCTAGCATCGCTAATTTCTTTTTTCTTTTTATTTATTTATGTTTTGAGACAGAGTCTCACTCCGTCACCCAGGCTGGAGTGCAGTGGTGCGATCTCAGCTCACTGCGACCTCTGACTCCCGGGTTCAAGCGATTCTCCTGCCTCAGCCTCCCAAGTAGCTGGGACTACAGGCATGCACCACCACACCCAGTTAATTTTTTTGTATTTCTAGTAGAGATGGGGTTCACCATGTTGGACCAGTCTGGTCTCAAACTCCTGACCTCGGGTGATCTGCCCGTCTCGGCCTCCCAAAGTGCTGGGATTACAGATGTGAGCCACCACGCCTGGCCTTTTCTTTTTCTTTTCTTTTTTTTTTTGAGATGGAGTTTCATTCTTGTCGCCCATGCTGGAGTGCAATGGCGCGATTCGGCTCACTGCAACCTCTGCCTCCTGGGTTCAAGTGATTTTCCTGCCTCAGTCTCCTGAGCTGACATTACAGCGCCTGCCACCATGTCCAGCTAATTTTTGTATTTTTAGTAGAGACGGAGTTTCACCATGTTGACTAGGCTGGTCTTCAACTCCTGATCTCAGGTGATCCACCTGCCTTGGCCTCCCAAAGTGCTGGGATTACAGGTGTGAGCCAACGCACCCAGCCTTGCATCACTGATTTCTTAGCAAAGAACTTGAGCCCGGCCCACGTATGACTCTCACCAATTCCAAATCAGTAGAGTCCAAATAAATGTTTTACAATGCTAAAGCTTTAGTAATCTCAAAAATATCCCTATTTAAAAAAATTTTCCAGCAGCAAACCTGTATATTAATACATACAAATACGATTTTCCTATCATTGCTCCTCCTTCCAGGTATACTTTGAAGCAGGTGACGAGTACTGCTCCACTTTACTGAGAAAGGGGGAGAGGAAGGGAGGAGGTGAGAGGGAGGGAAGGAGAGAGGGAGATACGAGAGAAGAGAGTATGGGAAACATCCAACACTCATAAAGTGCAAGATCAAGTATCACCCCTAAAGAGGGAGAAACTGGCACTGCTAGGCCTTTTGAGTTAGTATGCAGAACTGAGTATCCTTACCCTGACCTGAGGCTTTATGCTATAAATGCTAAGAATCTGTGAAACAAGTTTCCACATAGGAGGTTTCCCAGCAGGACAGGACTCTCCCTCCAGCACAGCCTGCTCCCACCTACCTCCTCTGGGCGCTCTACTTAGCAGCCAGTGCCTATGTGGGGAGAGTGAGTGACTACCTACTGTCACCCCCAAGCTGCAACACCTGGCAATGCGTGTCCTCTCAGGGGGTGGCAGGATCCATGTGACACGTCACCCATCTGAGGATGGTAAACATCACTGCTGTCATTTAAGCCCTCCTCTGAGCCTGACACCCAGGAAGGTATTTTATACACATTGCCCTACAAGCACCCCCCTAAAGGAATGGCTACAGGTTACATGGCAGGCAGGGGCAGGACTCACCATGCTCTCTCTCTGGCCCTGGCTGGGCCCTCTCTACTCTTGCAGGCAGTCCCTCCCAATCTGCACTTTGTTCCTTCTAAGTTTTCAAACTAATGCCCTGTGGCCAAGGAGCAAGGCCGGTGTATTTCAATCATTATGAAAACAGGGTCTGTTCTCCTGACGTTTCTGACAGTCTAAATAAAAAAGTCCCAAGCTTGCAGACTGACTGAACCACCTGATCCGAGAGGAACATGATGCTTGGGAACACTGGACTGCGACGTGCATCTGATTCAAATGACTCACCAGGTGGGACTGAGCCCTCACTTGTCACTAAAGAGACTGATGCTCCAATTAACAGTTCAAATGCTCAACTGAGCCTGGCGGCGGGAGATTGATAAACTGACAAGGGGGCCAATGTCTGCTTCTCATGCCAGGCTCCACTGTTTTAATTAGGTGACAATAGGGCCGAGTGGAGACCATGCACTGAGAGGTTTTGCTTCTAGGGACCAAAAAGGATGACATTTATGATAGATTCTGCAGAGCCCTTTATCTGTGACAATAGTTGCTGGGCCTCAGAGTCTCTCCAATTCCCATGTCTAAGGACCTCCGTCTGTGGCATTTGAATTCATCACGGTGTCTTCTCAAGAACACTGTTTTATACAACTGCCACGTGCTATCATCCAAAATGATCTGCCCCTCCCCGCCAAGGTGTCTTTCCACCTCTGTGCCCTCTGGGTTCAGGACAGTGTGCTGAATGGCTCAGAATCCATCTGTCAGCATCTAGGGCCGTTATTAAACTCCTAAGAACACCGTGGCCTGGGTGCCTCTGACCTTAGAAGTGCTACTGCAAAAAATAAATGGTCAATTCTTATTTTGCAAATCAATTTTTTTTTTTTTTTGAGACGGAGTCTCACTCTGTCGCCCAGGCTGGAGTGCGCTGGTGCGATCTTGGCTCACTGCAACCTCCACCTCCCAGGTTCAAGCGATTCTCCTGCCTCAGCCTCCTGAGTAGCTGGGATTACAGGCATGAGCCACCACGCCCAGCTAATTTTTGTATTTTCAGTAGAGACGGGGTTTCACCATGTTGATCAGGCTGGTCTCGAACTCCTGACCTCGTGATCCGCCCGCCTCGGCCTAACAAAGTGCTGGGATTATAGGCATGAGCCACTGTGCCCGGCCGCAAATTGAATTTAATACAATTCTGGCCTATGAACTGTAACCAGTAAATTCCATTATGATATTTATGGCCTCTTTCTACTTCAATCTATCTTAATAAATTCTCAACATAAGCGCAGAGAGCCAGAATGAAGTCTTTTCAAGTGGTGACCTTAAAAACCTAATTGCTATACTCACTTATTTTCATTTGTAACAGGAATGGTCTTCCCTCCAGGAATCAGTTCATGGCAAACAAGCTGGGGGAGAAGATGGGAGTAATTAATAGGGAGGACTCTAATGGGGAAATAAAGCTTCCCGGAGATGAGAGGGCCCAGCACAAACATCCATGATAATGATGGAATTAAGATGGCACATGCTTGGGAACCATCCTTTCTCATAAAAAGTCAAGGCTGAAATATCAACAAGCAGACCCTGCATGATCAATACAAAAGGTTTTTTTCTCACCCAATCCTTGTTCAAACATTTGTATTAAGACTTCGGGATGTCATGGAGGGGAATGTGTTGGCATTTCGGAGTAGAGTAGGACGGTTAAATAAACACTGGTACATCCATACCCTGGAATACTGTGCAGGTACTAAACAATATGATGAAAATGTGCGTTTACTAAAAAGGTGAAAAAAGGCCACTGATGTAACAACATGCACAGAATGGCATCATTTCTGGAAAGGGAGACTCGGGAAAGAGTCTCAAGGGACGCAGGTAACACACTATCACGGGCACCCTGTGGGCACTGGCATTACGGGCAGCTTGCGTTTTCATCTTTTGCTCATATTAGAGCTAATTTTTTTTGTTAGAAGTTTCATTATCTTTTCATCTTTTGCTCATATTAGAGCTAATTTTTTTTTGTTAGAAGTTTCATTATCTTTATAGTCGGGAGAAAAATTATGTCAGGATAAAGCCTCAACATCTGATTATAGATTTATTTTAAACTCTGTAAAATCAACTGCTTCTTTCAACTTCAAGAACACTTCCGTGGATCACCTAAAAATCAAAGGACATATCATTTGAAGCCAATTTTAATAGAAATTCTGTGAAGATTCTATAACCCTACAGCTCTAGAAAGGAACACACTGATCCCAGTCCCACTGCTGTCAGCATCTCAGGTGGCACCAGTGGGTTTTAAAGCTGAAAGGGCCCTTAAGAATCAGCCAGCCTGAGGTTTCCCCTGATTCCAGGAACACCCTGCCCGTGAGCTATTCTGTAGAGAACGATCCTGCGAGACAGCATTCTTTCCTTCCTTCAAAGAAGAGTTCTGTGTCCCAGGATGTAGGGAAGCTTGAGATTAACTCAGCTCCACTTTGGTTTCCTCCTTACAGGCTTCTCAGAGCCTTCACGTGCCAGCCTGCCCAGGGGCCTTTCAGGAGGACAGGCCACGCAGGGCTCCCAGCGGTGCTTACAGACTGGGCCCATCCAGGACTCGCATCTGGCAAATGGATATGGAAAGTGTGGCTCAGGGAGACTGGGGGTTCTGAGGTGCCCAAGCGCGAGTCTAATAAGTCGGCTCTGCATTAAGAAGCTCATGGCGTGGTTTCTCCTGAGCGGCCCTTGGACCTGCACTCCCAGAGCCTCATGCAGGGACCTCCACCAGGACACAATCAAAGGGCGCGGAGGCTGCTACAGAGAAAAGCCAGAAGGAACCGTGGGAGGAGACGTGCTGCGGCCCTGAGACCAGGGTCTCTGCTCCCTGCTCTGCTCTGTATGCTGAGAATGAACAAGGACAGGCTTCTGCTTGAGCTTGAGGCGCTTCTCAGGTGGCATCTTCCCCTTCTCTAAGACATAATCCTCCATTTGTAACGGCTAATCCTCACCATGGTAACGAAAAGCCATGTTACAAATGGGGAATTACCCTAAAATGCGATATAAGAAAGCAGGGTCTCTGCGGGAAGCTTCAAAGGCCAGGTCAACTGGGAAGGAAAGGAGGGGGCCCTCCCTCCTGGCAAGAGGGGAGGAGGATGGGCGAGGGGTGGGGAGGACAAGGGACCAGACAGAGCCTCAGCTTGGGGCTCTTTCTGAGGAAAACAAATAACACGGCAGGTCTCAGGAGCCCATGGGGGCAGTGGAAAGGGAGCTCAGCCAAAGGGCGGACCTACCTGACCCATGACGTCCTCGTCGTAAGACAGCGTCAGGCCCAGGTCAGTGATGTCCCCATCATAGCGCTAATGTAACAGAGAAGGGGAAAGTGTTAGGGCCATGGAGCACTATGTGCTTAAGAGGTTTAACCCTCCCTTGAGGCGCTGCTTTGGTGCTGGGAACACCCATGGCTGCTGAACAGCTTGACGCAAAGAAAGTCATTCGTGACTTTGAGGAAGGAGGTTGTGAGGATCAGCCCCAAGTGGGACTGCCCACAGGGGGATGTGAGGGGCCTGTAGCAGCTACAGCAACAGCAATAAGAGAGGACAGGCCATCTCCTTCTGGGACTTCGCAAGCTGTGAGTTCACACCAGTGCTCGGCTTAGCTCACCCACCATTCCATGCTCACCTTGATGGAGGTGAGGTTTTTATAGAACTCGGAGTCCAGAGAAGGCAGTTCATCCACCGAGCTATAGAAGACGCTGTGGTGGTGCCCAAGCAGTTGGCTCAGGAAGAAGGATGCAAATGGCACGTCCACCACAATTCCCTGGGAGAGCAGAGAAGCAGAGCTGTCCATCAGCCAGGATTCTGATGCAGTGTTTGGATTGGGGTGGCTCAGGGTGCAGACATGGCCCAGGGGTGCCATCGGCATTTCCAGGCCCCTCCTAAGTTTCCAATCCGGAGGGCAGTATCTCCCCATCCTCTACCAAATACAACTGAGTGCCTCCTGGGGACAGCGCAGTGGTCAGGACACATGGTTTGGAGCTACAGTGCTCAGGGATTAAATCCTAGCTGGGCTGCTGCCAAGCCAGGGGCCCTCAGCTGTCTCACCTGTCAGTGGGGGGCAGCACCAGCCTCTCAGTTAAGAGGATGGAACGTGCACAGTACCAGCACCCCCAAGCTCTCAGGGCAGCCATGGCATTGGCAGGGGCCAGAGGAGCACAGAGGATAAGCTCTCCCCCAAAGGCAGAGTTGGGGAGCTTCCGGGAGGAAAAGCCAGCTAAGTGAGGCCTAAAGGAGCCAGCCAGGCACTGGTACGAGGCCCCAGGCATACTCCAGGGATGGAGGGCACGGAAGCAATGGAAGCTATGTCCAATGAGGATGCAGGGCCAGGTCAGGGAGGGCCCGTAAGCCTTGCTGCAGGCTGGATTCTGTCCAGAGGGCTCTGAGCAGGGAAGGGACAGAGCTGCACTTTTATGTGGGGAATGGGCTGGCGAGAGGAAGACAGGAGGCAGACACAGCCAGACGGCTGTGGCATGCTGCCAGGGGAAAACGCCGACAGACTGTGCCAGGGTAGCGGCAGGAGGGTGGAGAGAGACATGTGGACTGGAGAGGCTGAGAGGGGACAGTCACTCGGACTTGATGACACCTGTCAGAGGACCGTAAGGGGTAAATGAGTTAATCCATGCCACTCCTCATGCAGGGCCTAGCAGGTCCCATCTTCTCTCGTCAGCACAATTACTGTCAGAGGTGAGGGAGGGAAAGGACACAGAGGCGAGGCCTGGGAAATGGCATGACATTCAGAGAAGCCAGGAGGCCATGCTTTCCAGGTGGCCCAGGCTCTTCTGAGTGTCATCACAGCAACGTGTTTAAAGGAAAACATATGCCATGTGCTCGGGTGGGTCCTAATGGGATTTTTAACTTTTTCAATGGAAATCAACTGAGAAATTGTTTCTATTATGCAGATGAGGAAACAGAGGCACAGAGAATGGGCCCAGGACCCAAATCACTGGAGGGCACAAGGAAGACTGGATGGTGTTTGGGCAGGGGCTCAGATGGGCCACCTGATTCCATCATGGCCAGGGACTGAGGCCGGTGCACATAGACTGTTTCCAGACAGAGAGAACAATGGATTATTCGAGAGTGAAAGGAGTTTGGCCCTGAGACCTCCCTCTCAGCTTGGCCCAGCTGCTGGCTCTTTCTGTTTGGAAAGCATCTGGCTTCTCCAGGTTCCTGGGGTATGCGAGGAGTGCTGCCCAGGTGGCTCGCTTCCTCCGTGCTTGGGCCAGAAGCTCAGCAGAGCCTGAGACCCAGGCAGGGTCCCTGCAGCTCTGGAGCCCACTGCGAAGGCCACACAGACTGGCTGGGCTTGTGCTGCAGCTTTCCTTCCTCCTGGGAAACAGGACTCTCCCAAGGAACAGGCGGTGACTTCCCACTGAAGGTGGTCCCACCTTGGCTTTCAATGGACGGGGTTTCAATGGACAGGAGCTGTGTGGGCCACATCACCCTGACCCCATCAGGCCACAGAGTGGAAACCCAGACTCACTTCCTCTTAGTAAGGTGAGGATGACTGCTCCGATCCACCTGGTGTGAGCAGCTGGCTGGGCACCGTAGAAGGCCCTCCTCACTTACCATTAACGGCAACCCAGGAATGTGGCTTTTCTTATCTCCACTTTACTGATGCGAGAACACGGCTTAAAAACTAAAGAAACTTGAAGGCACATGGTCACACGGCTGACTAGGAACAGCTGGTCCTGTCCTGTTGCCATGGCTGGGAAGCACTCACTCAAACAACACAAGATTTTAAAACTATCAAACTCCACAAAATGCTGCCCTCCTACAACGGGGACCCAGCCTCCGTGTGGCCATCTGGCTCTGCACACCACTCCTCATGCCTCAGGAAAGAAGAGGGCTGGCCTTAGGACTTGGGCCGGCCTGGGTTCAAATTCCACCTCTACCACTTAACTAGCAACGAAACTCTGGACAGGTGACTCCTCAAAGCTTCAGGTCTCCCATCCTTAAATAGCCAGGACAGTGGCAGCCCCGTCACAGGGCTGTCGATGGGATGAGATGAGATGCCACAGGCAAAGTACCTAGCACTGGTGTACAACAAACCTTGGTTCCTGCCCCTGTCCTCGCTTGTATCCTAGTGACAGTTTACATGGCCAAGCCTGATCACATATGTGTATGTGAAGAAGCCCATGGTACCGTTAACATTTTATTTTACATTTCTCTGTTTCTTAACGTTCCTACCTCATACACAGCCTTCCCCAGCATCTTCCCCACAAACTCGAAGAGCTGCAGGTAATTCTCATGGATGTAGGATGTGGGTGAGGGGTACAGCCTCTCATCCCCACTGGTTGTCTGCAAGGCAAAAAGACGGGGAGAGGCAGAGGTCAAGTGCCTTGCAAGGAGCAAGCCCAGCTCTTCACTTCTTGAATCTGGCTGCTGTCAGCCCTGCTGTTGCTCCCCTTAAATACCTTGAACAGATTGAGTGCTGGGTCAAAAACTCTCTTGATGATCTCTTCCAAGAACTCCTTAAAAACACCGTCTTGATCAATCCCTGCTTCGTCCACCCCGAGGTCATTGACAAACTTCACACGGATGACCCCCTTCATGGCGTGCTGGGAGAGCTGCCTAAGCTGCTCGTAGCCGTCCTGCCAAGAGCAGAATTACAGCCCATTAGGAAGCCCAAAGCCTTATGCACACAATTCGGGGTTCCCTCTCCTCTGTGCGAAGCTCTCCCAGCATCATTACCAAATGTGCAAATTATGAAACGTGGATGCATGACAGGAGCCGTTCTCACCTGCTTTTGAATGAGTGCTGATTAAAAGCAAAGATTCATTTGGGGATGTGACAGTATCACTCCTTGGCAAGGGGAGACTGACCTCAAGGGGACAGAGCAGTGAGATGGGGAAGTTAGACAAAATGAGTCATGACAAGCTCCTGGCCATCAGACAAAGGATGAAAGAAACCGGGACAAGATACATTTCTCTCTCTCTCAATGCTAAGAGTATCTTTAGCTCATGGTAAAAAAAAGAAAAAAGAAAAAAAAAAAAAATCAAACCTACAGAACACTGTAAAATGAAAAGAATTACCCATCACCCCTCATCTCCCGCTGCCTTCCCAATCATGAAGTGCCTGCAAGTCATGCTGAGGAATTTAGGGGACATCCTGAAGGTAATGGGAGCTGCAGAAGGTTTTAGGCAAAGAGTAACAGGGCTGACTTTCTGTCAGATCTTTCTATTGGCAGCAGAGCAGGTGGATGGCAGGGATCAACGCAGGGAGCAGAGACCGAGATGTGGGGGTGGTGCTGGGCCTGGACTTCTGGCTGGTGGTCAGCTCTGTTAGGACACAGCCATTCAGCACATCTACTCCATCCAGACCTCAACATGCACAGCCCCAGAACCACAACTTTGGAGTTCTCCTACTAAATCATCTGTTTAGTTTGTCTCTTGATTCTAATCTGTTGAGGCCTTCCTGGCTTCTGGTTCCATCATCTAATGCATTCCTAGTACTTGGGGTGCTGAGGTTTTTATTTCAGAGCAGTGACTATAAAAACAGTGCTGAACAGCACAGGGCCCAGGGAAGAGTCTGTTGGCCCGACTTGAGAGGCCCAATCACCAGGTGAAACTGATGTCTTCAGACACTGTGATGGAACAAGTGACCAATCAACCCTGCTGTCCTATGAAGGCCATGCCACATTTCTCCCTTTCAGCTACAACTGTAACACTGTCACATGCTTCGCAGGTTAGACAGGCTGTCTCCACAGCATCCACTCGGCTGCCGTCTGGTCCCCTCATCACAAAGCAAACGAGCAGTATGCCAGTGTGGCGAGACCTGTTTTGGGGAACCCTTGCTGCCTTCCTGCCATGTTCACCCAGTGATCCCCAAAGGACTATCCTATGGTGCCCCGATTCAGGGGTTAGGCTTCAAAGTTAGTGGGCAAGGGAAAATTACCTCTCAAGACCCCTAAGTCACATGTGGGAACAGGAGCACAGTTTTGTGGAGGCAAACCTGAGAAGGACTTTTTATGTACATAAAGTTTGAGAATCATTAAGTTAGATGACAAAAGGGAGAAACAGGAAGTCAACAGGCAGCTGTAACAGCATTTAAACCATTCTGCCTAAATTTAAGATAATTATCTTGGCACTGAGATGAGAACGGATGGAGAATTCCATCAAGTTCCTGTCTGCCTGCAGGAGTTCCTCCAACCTGCTTTAAAATTATGCCTCCCCAGCCTTCACACGCATTAGTAGATGCGTTTGTGGTTATGTGGATGAAATGGGATGGTACATGTGAAAGCAAGTGGCACATGGCCTAGCTCAAGGAGCGTTTACTGGATTCAAATCTCAGTCTTGCTTGATCAGCTCCACACCAGCCTCTTTGTTTAAACGTTTAGAGGGGACTGCCTCTTGTGATACATTTCCTGCCTTCTGGGAACTGGCGTGGATATGCGAGGATTATATCCATGCCTCTTGGGAGGTGAATGTGAGTCAGCGTTCCTCTTCTTCACTGCATCTCAACATGCACACACAGGGAATACTGAGCTAGAAAAGGGATGCCTGGCTTCCAGGCCCAGCTCTATCACTGATATCCAAGTGACCTTGACTGAAGTTCTCTGGCCTCAGTTCTGCCTTTGACAGAGACAGGGGAAAGGACTGGGTAAGAGTATGTTTGAGGATCCTTCCGGTTCTGAATACTAGAGTTCCAGCCCAAACTCACCCTCTGGGAAGAAGAGCCTTCCTACAGGACTTTAATATCTGGAAGCCTAATAGAGAAGCATAGCCCTCAATACTAACCATAAAAAAGGAAACAATGCCCAGGAGAGCATGAGTCTGAGATCAGCTTACTGACGCCCCCTTGTGTCCAAATCCAGCAAAGGCCCCTGGGCTCTCATATTCTAATAACCAAGCCACCAGATTACGACAACTGGGATAACAATGAACAACCCTCTCCCCTTCTCCAGTGGAAAGTAAAGAGGAAAAGGGACTTTGCCTAAAGCCTAAGACAGACATCTCTTTTGCCATCCCTGAGGGATATGCTTTAAAAAGTAGGGCCAGAGTAACTGGGATGTCAAGTGAATTTCCAATAAGCAATGATATTTGTGAAGGGAGTCGGATTCTGCCACTCTCAGGAGATACTGCAATCTATACCACCCCAGACTCTTCCCATGGGTGGGTGCTGGCCACGTCTGGGTAGGCGTGATGGGTAGTGGGGCTGAGGATTTCTAGAGACAAGGGAGATGCATCTGGGTCTGCAGAGGGAAGTGCTAGAAAGGGAGTCCCTACCACACAATTGGGCTTTTTCTGAATCAAAAGCAGAGGTTGCAAATGGGTGGCCCACAGGTTGAATTTGGTGGAAAGACAGGTGTTATCTGACTTTCTAGGCACTTTACAGAGTTCAATTAGTTCACAACATGGAAGATCTGAATTTTGGCCTTCTCTTAAAAACTCAAGAGCGTTATGGAGCCCACCTCGTCACATGGCAGGTCTGGAGGAGCTGAGTGGCGGTGGCCTCTTCTGGGGAGGCACGTGCTTCCAACTGCTCCCCAACACTGAGGCTGGGTGTCAGTTGCCATTTATCAACTCACTCGTGGGGGCTATTTTTCTCAAGTAGAGCTACACAGACCAAGAGGGCTGTTTCAAGAACAGGAGGGCGCAGAAGTGGAGATTATTTCTATATGTCTAGCACGCAAACAGAATGCTCCTGTAATGAGACCCACTCAGCCAGCTTTACTCCTTCACATGGCCTGCAGGGCCCAGTGGGCCCTTCAATTCCTTATGCCTACCTTGAAGAATGTCAGAAACATCCACTGTTCAGCACACACTGCCTTCCTAGCAGCTCTCGGCATTGATCACCAGTGGCCAGGGGCACTCAAACAAGCTCTCCAGTAAGGAGTGACACAAACAAGGTACGATGCACCGAGGGAGAAAATGAAGACACGTGAGGAGGAACAGCTGCTGCCAGAAGCCATCTGCTGGTGGGGGTGGCTATCTGGCCACATACTTCAGGGGATCCCGTGACTGTCCTACACTACAGGACAGGCTCATGGGGAACTGCAGCTGGAGTGTGATAAAAAGGTCTGAAGTGCAAACATGGCAAATAAATGAAGCCAAGCCTCTCCAGGGAATGGGGACTGTGGCTCAGTCACCAATTCTATCGCTGGCAGGATGAGCATGTATGGGTAGGCTGTGCACTATACAAGCCCAGGGGAGGCTGTGGCATGGATAACACAGACATCGTAGGTAGTTAAGTTTATGACAACCATGTTCCAGCAGATTGGAGGCACGGTCTTGTACCAACAAAACCAATGTATTGTGACAATTTTCTGACATATGAGGACTGGGTACCTATCTCTAATTTACATGGAGTCACCGTATAGTGGTAGTTCCAGACAACGGATTTAGCTCAGGTGGGTCACTTCAGTGGTATCTTGTAAGTTTCTGTCTACAAAGAACTTCTGGCTCTGTGATAAAAGTATTTCTCTACATAACTCAGTAAATGTAACACCTCCACTCCACTTATATACTACAATCACAGTTGAGAGTCTCAGCAAAGTGCCTGCTGGGACAAATGGAGTTTGCACAGACCTGAGAGTGTTAGTGCAGCCGCTGTGACTGGCAGCTCCTGTCCTCATTTCAAAGGGACATGAAGAGGTGGATGCTCTAGCCCAGGATACTCTAGCTCTCATGGGGTAAAGGAAGACACTGCTGGGTCTCCAGCAATGAGAACATGTTTAACCAAGCAGCTGTTCAGAGCAGTCAACAGGACAAATGACCCCTTTCCTGCTCCCAGAGCCTTAATTTCAGATCAAGGAGTAACAGGAACAGTTCAAAAGCCAGAGACCGTCCACTAAAGAGCTTCCATGTTGCAGGGCCCACTTCCTTGTGGTAGGATTCCATAGGCTTCACACTCACCTCCAGCATCCTGGACCGGCGGATGGTGATGTGAGTGACATGCGGGGAGGCAGAGCTGGTTTCCACCAGCCCCAGTTTCTCCTTCTCCTTGGTAACCATGGTTCGAAACAGTAGAACTCTCTAAAATGAACAAAGGCGGGATCAGAAAACAGGGTCAGCAAACTGACGATTCCATAAAAACACTCTGCAAAAATGACTGAAACTGAAGTTAGATGAGATGCAAGCAGAATGGGATGCCTTAACATGTGCTACCAGTTAGAAGTGTCCTGTGAGAACAGAAGCATTCCCTGGAACACTTGTGGGAATTAGAAATACTGTTGAATACACAAGCAAAAAACGTTCCGGAAAGAGTGGTCTGGCTGCAGCTAGGGTCCAGCTAGGAATGGCCCACGAGAAAATCCTCCTCAAGGCTGGGCGTGGGGGCTCACGCCTGTAATCCCAGCACTCTGGGAGGCCCAGGTGGGCGGATTACCTGAGGTCGGGAGTTCAAAACCAGCCTGGCCAACATGGTGAAACCTCGTCTCTACTAAATACAAAATACAAAAATTAGCTGGGTGTGGTGGCATGCACCTGTAATCCTAGCTACTTGGGAGGTTGAGGCAGGAGAATCACTTGAACCCAGGAGGCAGAGGTTACAGTGAGCCAAGATCGTGCCACTGCACTCCAGCCTGGGGGACAGAGTGAGACTCTGTCTCAAAAAAAAAAAAAAAAAAAAAAGAAAAAAAAGAAAAAAGAAAATCCTCCTCATTCAGTCAATAATCCACTATAAAAACTTGGTGGCAGAACAAGTTACAGAGCCTTCTTTATCTAGCTGTGCCTGCTTTAAGGGAAATCAATATTATGAATCCTAAGAACAAAAATAATTCAAAGATAACTTTTCCTACTGTCAGAAAATTTAAAAATGACCCTACAGTATAAAGCTCCCTGACCTTTCAACCTGCCTCCTCTGTGCCTTCAAGCCCACCACAGTCCCACCAGTAATATTTCTCAATTACTGCTTGAAAGGAACCCTCTCTCCTTATTCTTAAGATTCTGCTAAACCTATTTAGAAAGAGCATGACTCTTTGCCCCATCCTGGGCTCAAGAATCAGCACCCTAATACCATTTAAATCAAGTCAGCTGAATGAATACATAAATCTAACCACAGCTGTTTTTTTAAAAATGGGAATCTCCCCCAAAGTCAAGAACTTTATTAAATACAAATAAGAACAGTAACAGCTGGGCACAGTGGCTCACGCCTGTAATCCCAGCACTTTGAGAGGCCGAGGCAGGTGGATCACCTGAGGTCGGGAGTTCGAGACCAGCCTGACCAACAGGGAGAAACCCCAACTCTACTAAAAATATAGAATTAGCTGGGCGTGGTGGCACATGCCTGTAATCCCAGCTACTCGGGAGGCTGAGGCAGGAGAATCGCTTGAACTTGGGAGGCGCAGGTTGTGGTGAGCCAAGATCGTACCATCACACTCCAGCCTGGGCAACAAGAGTGAAACTCTGTCTCAAAACAACAACAACAACAACAAAAAAACAGTAATAATAGTAACAACAACAGGAAATACTATATACCAGTGGGTGCTAGTATATTTTCATTTAATTATTATGTTAACTCTATTAGGCAAATATGATTGTAACAAAAAAAGCAATGACCAACAGCCCCTTAAGAAGAAAGGGGATGGGCCAGTCGCGGTGGCTCACGCCTGTAATCCCAGCACTTTGGGAGGCCTAGGCGGGCGGATCATGAGGTCAGGAGATCGAGACCATCCTGGCTAACACGGTGAAACCCCGTCTCCACTAAAAATACAAAAAATTAGCTGGGCGTGGTGGCGAGCACCTGTAGTCCCAGCTACTCGGGAGGCTGAGGCAGGAGAATGGCGTGAACCCGGTAGGTGGAGCTTGCAGTGAGCTGAGATCGCGCCACTGCACTCCAGCCTGGGCGACAGAGCGAGACTCTGTCTTAATAAAAAAAAAAAAAGAAGAAGAAAGGGGATGGTACTGAGTGGAGGAACTACTGTTCAGTGAAGCATCTTGCTGAGGCTGGTTGACAGATCTAGACGTGACAGGACTGACGTGCTCTGAGTAGAACCAAAAGCCCTGAGAGGTTCCAGGGCCATGCAGAAGAGAGGGGACAGATTGGGGACACAGGGAGGGAGGCTGGTGATAGGAATGAAGGGTGCTCCTACCTCTCCCCTCCATGGCAGGGGAACTGTAGGACTTTTGAGAACAGGTGTTTGTCATGTGGAGTCGTGTAGTTTGTGACACAACTACTTCCTATGACCCCAAATCTTTGGCATGACCACCTGAAGGGGTGCTGTTTGGTGATACACAGGCGGAAGGCGAGTTACATCTGGGTCAATCCAGTATGGGGTGGAGATAGCAGAAGACACAGAAACAGAACTAAAGAGACAGAAGTGACCACAGAAAGCCTGGACAGGGCTCTGGATTTCTATGGGGCATGGAAGAAAGTCTGAGGCAAGCTTATCCAGGCTGCAAGGGCTGGGCAACCTCAGCGACTGCAGTGGACAGTTGGGTACGGATCATTCTCCCCATTCTACAGATGAAGACCTTACTCACCCAAGGCTACACAGTTGGTGGGCAGGGGGATGGAATGAAATCCAAAGCCCAGACACAGCCCCCATACTACAAAGCCTCTGCCCACTCCACACCTCTTAGGCCTTCTGGGTAAACACAAAAGGCAGAGAGGACTTAAGGGCCAGCCAGGGGATGAGTCACACATAAACAGGTAAAAGCGATGTAAGAGGGTGCAGAAAATGAAGTGCTGTGCACGTGAGCCAGGCAGAGCTGAGGCTTTAACAAATGTTAAGGAAAACAAGAAAGGCATTATAGTGAAATCGAGAACAAGGGAGAGGTTCAACATTTAGGGCAGATGGTATAATGGTAACAGAGCAGAGAGAGCCTATTACCCTCCTGTGTACTCCAGCAAGAATATTTCAATGGCAGAGGGCAGCACACATGCCACTAAGGGGAGCTTGAAGCTTGAGATGGGCGGAGGGGCAACAAGACAGCCCATCTGCTCTGAAAACACCAAGCCTTAGATACTCCCCCAGGACCTGCAATCACGGAGCAGGAAGGGGCAGGAGATGACGAGGGCCCCATTTTCCTGAGGGAGGACATTTTATGAACTAAGGACAAACAACCTTGATGACATATTTAAGCAAAATTCCCAAAAGAAAAAAAAAATGTGGGGATTACTATATACCCTGGACTTAAAAGTCATTCCAATTTATCTCAGCGGTTCCCTGACTTTCTTATTCACAGCACCTCTATCACTGCAGTAACTTTTTTCATGGTACTCCTAGGCCAAAAGAAATCCCTAGCAGTCCTTTTTACTAGGTAGTTAGGTCCCAAATATTTATGTCCTAAGACCTCAGTTGCTGTATTTTACAAATGCACATACTTTGAAATATAAAATATTTTTATTTTGTTCTTACAAGCCAGCTTTGCAAACATCATTAAAAAGAATGTAGTGCAATCTCATGTTGAAACCACGAACTACTCTGAACTAGCAGTTCATGTGGTGTCTCACTGTGTTCTCCTCAGAAATTTAAAATATTGTGCAGCACCTCCAGTGGCCACAGCACACGTGAACCACAGAGAAACAGAGCGGAGGGTCTAGACGATGTGTTATGGGAATGCAATGGTCAGAGGCTGATTTCACAGACACGCGGGTCCAGGAGGAGGGGCTGCATTTTAAACCAGACACCACCAAACCAGATGAGGCCCAGGAGATGAAGGCTGGAGCCTATTTCAAACAAAGACGAGGTGGAGAGGCTAAGGATACTACACTTGGAAAACACAAGCCCCACATGCAAACGGGAGCTGCCAACAGATCACAGAAGATAAAAGAAGCCACTTTTAGGGGTTGTTCAAGGACCAAAGGGTAGAAGTTACAGAGAAGCACAGTTCATGATGAGGAAGAATGTTCTATCTTTTGGAAAAGTAAAGCCACAGAACAGCCTGTTTTGCAAAGCTGTGCATTTTCTATTGGAAGCAAGGTCAGGGACATCATAGCAGGGGCTCCCTCAAGGAAGGCACATTTGATTAAGTAATTGCCGTAAGGCCCTTCACTTCTGAGAGTTTGCCAAGTGCAGTAAGAATTTAAACAGCCACATTGTTTGCACATCACTGCTTGAGGGGGAAAGAATAGCAACCATAAGTATTAAAGTCAAGGACAGAACAGTATCAGACAGCAGTGAGGATGAAATACCTCTGAAAAATGAGATTTAATTTACAAAAATATGATTTATGCTCTTTTCTAAAAATATGTCTACTTCGTTAAAAAAAGAAAAAGAAAATAGAACAGGAGAAAAATAAAGGACACAACCTAGACTCCTAGAAGACTCTTCTAAGAGGAGCTGAGTGTTGTCGCAGCATCGGACATTTCCAGAGTGCCTGCCACTCACCAGGGACGTGAGCCATGCTTGCTACCCTCATTTCCTGGATGCTCCTGCCACAGCCCAATCCTCCCCAAGTCTCTCTCATCCCCCGGGTGTGTGGCACTCTCCTGGTTTCCCTCCTTCCCTCCTCGTGTTGGCCCTCTGTGGGACGGGTCCTGCAGGGCTCTGCCTCAGTGCCCTGGACTTCTCACTCCGTCTGACTCCCCAACCACCTCGCCCAGGTTATGGGGGGAGTCAGCAGACTTGGGTGCTGTCTGATTCCCTGACTACCTCACCCAGTCCATGGGGGCAGTCAGGAGATTTGGGTGCTCTCCCCACACAAGCTCCTCCCTCCTGAATGCCAGACCCCCTTTCCAATGGCTTCCAGGAGCCAGAGACATCTCACATCCTACCTGCTCGATGCTGAACTCGCCGCCATGTCCCAGTCCTGCTCTTCCACCTCAGGAAAACACCCCCCAAGTACCCAAGCCAGACACCCGAGCATCACCTGAATTCTTCCTTTCTTTCCCCTTGGGATGTGACCATTCTCTGAGGCCTCCTTAAAAATCTCTTGACTTGCTCATCTTTTGACTCCCAGGGCCCACCCTAGTGCAGGACAGCTTGCTTTAACACCCCTGCCTCTAGCCAGCCCTCCACGCTGCAGCCAAGATGACCTTCCTGAAGTATGGCTCTGACCAGGTGCCTCCTAAGCTTCCAGCCCTCCGGTGGCTTTGCAGAAAGCCCTTGCTCCCAGCCTTGGTTTCTAAGGCTGTCTTGCTCTAGTTCCTACTACCCTCCTCGGCTTCCTCTTGACCCCATCCTTTCTATTCTCTCCAGCCACACTGCACATTTGACTCTCCAAAAGCACCTCATCCTTTCTAACTCAGCCTTTCAACACTGTCCACTTTTGCCCGTGGGACCCTTTCCTGTCCCCTTTCCCTCCCTCCAGCTGGTCAGGTCTCCGTACCTGGGCTGCCACTCCACCAGCATCGCCAGTTCACACTGTCTTCTCCAGCTCTGTACCCCAGCACTGGGTGTAACCTCACCAAAGTAATAGCAACCACCGTTTCCTTGTGCTGAATGAATGATCCCACTTAGTCACCTCCAATTGCCATAGCAAGGATGGAAAGGCAGGAACCACGTGGGGGAATAGAAAGACACATCGGGGCCCAGCTCTGAGTGCAACTCACGTTTTTGTGAGGGATGACATGTGGGATGTACTGCAGGATCAACTGTGCCCGTTTTCTGTCCCTGTCGAGTTCTTGGAAGAGCACGCTAGGTTTGAGATCCCTTGAGAAGAAAGACATGGGTTTGGGAGAATTAAAAGAAGGAAACCATCCTCTAGTGTGAGGCTGGGAAATGACACCATGTGGGCCACATGCAGGGTGCTGTCTGTTTCTCAAGAGTCTGATGGGAACATGACCATACTCATTCATACATGTATAGCCTATGGCAGCTTTTGTGCTACAAGAGCAGAGTTGAGTAGCTACAACAGAGACTGTCTGGTCCACAAAGCCTAAAGTCATCTGGCCCTTTACAGAAGTTTGCCAGTCCCTGCTCTAGTGCCACAGCTTCAGCAGTTGCCATAAAGCTTGAACTCATTGATAAAAATGCAGATACATGCCTATGTTCAGTTGTGATAGGAGGATTTCCCCCACCCCATTACTCTCCAAAAAACCTAAAAGCAGTTTTTACTCTAGTAATTCTGCTAATAAAAACTGCCTTTTAACTCTCATGCTCTGTTGCTCAGCTCAGCTAAAAGACCTCTTCCTAGTTTGGATGAGAAATGTATGCTAAATATAATCTGGCTCTGTTGCCATTAATTAACTCTAATCATATTTGGTGTAAACATCTCTTAACAGAAGCGTCCTGACAGGTGCTTCACAGGGACAGCAGCTCTCTTTACACAAATGAACAGACAAAATGAAGCAGAGGGAAAAAGTCCTCTCTGCCCTAGAACATGAGAGCTGAGTGCTCGGGCAGCGTGCCGGAGCAGGCTGGCTTCCATGGAGCCCTCCTCACCCCTGGAGCTCACTTTCGCAGCCAGTGGTCCTCGGGGGTGAAGCGCCGCCGGCAGTCCCGCTCGTACAGCACCATAAGCCACCCGTGGACAGACTGGAACAGCTCCAAGGTCTCACCCTTGGCGTTCTCTGTGGGACAAACAAACAGGAAAGTCAGAGGAGGAGTCAGAGCCAGAGAGCAAGGGGAGGACAGCTCTTGTCTTCCGCAGTTGTCATCAAGTCCTTGATCTCCCTCGCTCTGAATTATATGTGGAACCGACAGAATTAAAAGGCACCCTGGGTAAGTGCTAAGTGTCTGCAGGGCCTGAGTACCTCTCAGACAAAATCACTCATGCTGCCTCCCACTAGTGTGTCATCCGAAGGGCCTTTTAAGTCTAAGGAGCTTTGTCCTGAGCAATTGGAGACACTTCGGGAGGTGGACTCTCATCTCAAGTGTGCACTGGCACATGTTTTATCTTCACGGAAATCAAATGGAAGAATCAACAGGAGATTCAGGGCAAAATTAATCATCATTAATAATCCTCGACACATACATGCAAATCCTGAAGGGAGCCTGGGAGAGCAAGACTTCTATAACCACACCACTATCTTAAGAAGTCACAGAGAGTGAAGAAAGAAAATTTCCAATTGTGGGAATAAATGTGCACCTTCTATTAACTTGGAGAGACAATAAAGCTAAGAATCAGTTGATGCCATAGACTCTTCGGCCTCCCTGGGTGCAGCATCAACCAAACAACAGCAGACACCTTTTCTCTTACCTACAATTCCATCCCAGATCATCTTAAACACAAAAGAATTCAGGAAAGAGGAGATAGTGACCAGCTCTTCCAGTTTGAATGAAATCTGTTCTTCATAAACTTCAATGTCATCAAGGATTCTAAATCAGAGAGAAAATTACCCACAATTCCACACTGAAAAAAGGCGAAGAGAAAAAAAATCTGTACTGCTTACTAGACAATAAACGAGGTTGAGAAATAAGCTTTATCTTGTAGAGATACTTACTGTAAAATCTACAGATAAAATGATATGATATCATCAGGGGTAGGGGGAAAGGGGAGGGAGAGCCTTAGGACAAATACCTAATGCATGTAGAGCTTAAAACCTAGATGACGGGGTGACAGGTGCAGCAAACCACCACAGCACATGTATACCTATGTAACAAACCTGCACTTTCAGCACATGTATCCTAGAACTTAAAGTAAAATAAAATAAAAATAAAATGAAAAAAATGATATGATGTCTAGGATTTGCTTCAAAATAATGTGGGAGAGAAAAGCAGGTGGGCATTTGGATGAAGCAAAACTGGCTGTGAGGTGGTACTGTTGAAGCTGATAATGGGCACATGAGGGTTCATTATATTATCCTTTCTACTTTCTATTAATTTGAAATCGACCATAGTAAAAAGTTAAAAAATACAATTAAGAAAAAATCTGTACTCTATATTTTTCTTATTCATAAGGATCTGACTGTGACACTTTCTTAATTCACACCTCAATTCACGCCTTCCTTATTCATGTCTGCATATCAAGGAACATTGACTGAGAGTCGATGTTTACTGAGGAAAGCTGCAGAATCTTTTCGATATCTAAGACACATACTAGTGACACTTAGCAGGTACTTAGTAAGCATTTGTGAGTAAATGAATAAATGTTTGAAAGAACATATGAATAAATGAGCCATTTAAGACACAGCTCTATCTGAACATTTCCTAACACTGCTCCATACACTAGAATAAGATTCACTCTTGGCTTACCCCCATCCAGTGATTAAGGATGTCTTCACCAGCAGCTAGACCCCTGCTCTTGCCTCCAACTGCTCAGTGAGTTCTTCCATGATCCTCACCCAATCTGCCACCTACATGTCCCTGATCCTCTCCGGCTAAAGTCTTCCAGCCTGAACATAACTGCCTGAGGTCCATTGTATCTTATAATTCTTCACCAACCTTTTGGGAAAAGGTGGAATGAAAAGAATACCAAACACACAAGATGCATAAGCTTAAAAACCAAAGGAACTAAATGGGACTAATGTTTGTTAATTTCCCACTCTGTGCCAGGCACTGCACTAAGTATTTGACGCTGTTTTTTTCACTTACCCTCTATTGAACTGGTAATATTCTCTTCATTCTAATGAGGAAATAGAGACTCAAAGAGGTTAAGAAACTTGCTCAGGGTCGGCTTGATAATAATAAGAGCCAACAAGTACTGAACTCATCCTATGTGCCAGGGACTGTGATAAGCACTTTGCAATAATTATGTCTTTTAATCCCTACCATGTGCCTAAAAGGTATGTGCTATTGTCATTCCCATTTACAGATGAGTCAACTGAGTCTCAGAGAGGTTGAATCCGTGATCCCTTGCCCAGGGTGTCTCAAGATCTGCTTAGCAAGGATCTGCACCCTGGCTCTGACTTTGGAATTTTCCAGGAATCTAGCTAGCACAGTGAATAAATGGCTGAGCCATGATCTAAACCCATCTCCAGGAGACCCCAAGCCACAGCCAGTGGTACTGATCAGCTTCCTTGAAAGGATGGGAACTTTTAACTCCCAGGCCCCACCCTAACAACTGCTGAACATTTACTGCACACTGCTCACTTGGTAAATGGCTAGTTCTTACAATGCCCTGCCACACAGGTCCAAATGTTTGCAGTAATCACATTAGCAATTACTTCCTTACTGACACTGTATTTTGGTCTCTCCATATTCTAGGAAAGGAATTCAGTCCCACAGCAGTCAACCTACGTGATGAGGTGCCGCGAACAGTCACAGAACAGCATCAGCATGGCCAAGAGTTGCTTGGACTCTTCAGTGTCATTGTTCAGGCATTCCAAGAAGAGCTTTAACCCTCCGTGGGGCCCGAGCTCACAGATAAATGCCCACAGTTTGGGAAGCAGGTCATCAAGGTAAGTGAGACCTGGAAAAAACACAGAGAAACCCAAGCTTCAGGTGGAGACTCCACCTGGTCTGTTATTTCTCCTATCCAGTGGGGAAACAAAACACTTAAACCTATCCATGAACATTTAATGTGCGTGAAAAGAAGGTGGGATTATGGAGAAAAGCATTATCACCACGAGAGTAACAATGATAAGAGCCAGTAGTCAGTGGGTGCTGACTATGTGCCAGGCACCATTCTAAGCACTCCGTATGTATTGTTTGCTTTCCATTTTCTGAAGCCCAGTGTTATCCCCATCTTATACAGGAGGAAACTGAAGCACAGAAAGGTTAAATAATTGGCCCCAAATCACACAGCCTGTATGTCAGAGCCAGGAATAGAACTCAGGTCTGACTTAGCATTTATGCTTTAAATCAGGGATCAGCAATTTGTTTCAGGAAACAGCCAAAGAGTAAATATTTTTAGGCACTGTGGGCCAGAAGGTCTCTGCTGTTAAATTAAATCTAGCCAAGTCTGAGCAAAAAACAATTCATCCATCAGGCAGCCCTCAGAACCAGACGAGGTTCAGACAGCTCCAGTCCACATTCTGGGCAGGCAACATTTAGGGGCAAAACTGAAGTGAGGTACAGAGACAGCTTGACTGGTTACACCTCGGCTTTGCCTTATTTGAATGTGGTCTAATCAGATGGCCACCTGTGATTGATTGAAGCTAGGCTGCTGTGATTGGCAGCTATTTGTTACAAAAATACTGAATAGTCCTAAGTTAGACTTCTAGTCAGTTTACATACTAAGTTAGGCTGCAGTTCCTTACTTAAGGACTCAAAATATGGAGGCATCCTCAGGCCAAATTTAGTCTAACACTGTTACAACTACTCAGTGCTACCACTACAGCACAAAAGCGGCCACAGACAATGTGTAAAGAAACAGATTTGGCAGCCCGGTGCTGTGGCTCACGCCTGTAATCCCAGCACTCTGGGAGGCTGAGGCGGGTGGATCATCTGAGGTCAGGAGTTTGAGACCAGCCTGGCCAACATGATGAGAAACACTGTCTCTACTAAAAAATACAAAATCAGCCGGGCGTGGTGGCCAGCACCTGTAATCCCAGCTGCTCAGGAGGCTGAGGCAGGAGAATCGCTTGAACCTGGGAGGCAGAGGTTGCAGTGAGCCGAGATCGCACCACTGCACTCTAGCCTGGGCGACAAGAGCGAAACTCTGTCTCCAAAAACAAAAACAAAAACAAAAACAAAACAGATTTGGGTCTGTTCTAGTAAAAATTTATTGACAAAAACAAGTAGTGGGCTGGATTTGGCCCCCCAACAGTAGTCTGCTGACCCTTGCCTTAAACCATCTTGCAGGCTCGCCACCTTTGGCAAAGCTTCCCCCCACTTACCTCTATTATTCTATTATGTTAAAAGTGGAAATGCAGTCAATGACTGTGGTAGGATGCTCTGAACTATACAAAAATGGAACCCTGAGGAAGCAAAAGGGGACACAGAGGACTTTCTAAATTTGTTTCCTGATGGCTACAAGGCCTTAGACACACAGGCCACATCACGGGTATAGTTTACATCTAATAACACATCTCTTGACTTAGAAAGGCTGGATCTGAAATGCCATGTGTCACTGAATATACATTAAGGTGTGTTCCTCAGAAAAGCACAGTCACCTTGTATACGAGCCCTTACAATACCTCTCATCTTATAGGGCACTCTCTGAATTATTTAGTTTTGAATAAAGAACTGTTTGGGGAAGGTATATTAGCCAGCAGTGGGAGTTGGGGGAACTCCATCAGAGCTACTGAAGGATACTTAGAGGGTGAACTGAAGGAATTCTAAAGGAGGCCAAGAATTGTATCAATTTAGTGATTATGCCTAGAGCTTAGACCTCACATTTTCAAGGGTAGGAGGATGTGGTTATAAAGAAGCCTTTAGAAGCAAGACTTTCTTGATCTGTTGGTGATGACATAGGTGCCCCACTCATAACTAGTCTTTCAACTGTCCATGTTATATCAAACACACCCAAGAATGTGGAACTCTCACAATTCAAAAATAGGTTAAAATAGAAACAGAGGAAACAGTTAACACTGTGGAGATCACAAATATACTCCTATGGGATAAAAGAAGAAAAGCAAGTGTCCTCGAGTTCTGTGTAAAGGACTCATGTAGCGTAGACTAGAATGCTCATAGCATCACACACTGATTCAACAAGGGCTGCATATCTAGCCATTTAGACAGAGATGGAGACACTGGGCCTGGCAGAGCAATGGCAGACAGACCAGCAGCAGTGCCAGTGCTATCAGATGTGTGTGAGGAGCACAAACAGACACTTCCTAAGTTGTCAGTAGAAAAACAGCAGTATTTTAAAAACAAGCGTTATTTTCTATAATCTAAGTTGCTAAATAGACTGAATATCAAACATACACTTTAGACTAGTTTATCTTTATCCTTAAAGTGTATATTTTCAAGTTGACTAAAAAACCTGTATTTGGATTCTCTCACTTGGGAAAATGAGCTTCAATGTGAGCTCATTTAAAAAGCTGGACACACAGGAGATCGAGACCATCCTGGCTAACACAGTGAAACCCCGTCTCAACTAAAAATACAAAAAAAAAATTAGCCGGGCATGGTGGCAGGCGCCTGTAATCCCAGCTACTCGGGAGGCTGAGGCAGGAGAATGGCGTGAACCTGGGAGGCGGAGCCTGCAGTTGAGCCGAGATTGCGCTACTGCACTACAGCCTGGGCGACAGAGTGAGACTCCGTCTCGAAAAAAAAAAAAAAAGCTGGACACAAACCACAACCCCAAACTCCTCTCACTCAAGATGCTGCTCAAACCCTCAGGCGCTGGGGTACCCCAGGTATGGTCTTGCCCCTTCTCTCCTCCCTCTGCTCATCTTTGGGAAACCTGCCCTAGGCTGAAAGCCCATGGCTTTACACTCCATCCCTCAGCTGATGCTCCCAGAGTGTCACCTCTGCCAGCATGCCCAGCAGGCCCCTTTCCCTTGTCACAGCCACAACACAACAGACTCCTCACAGGCCCTGCCCCCGGTCTTCTCCAGCTCAGCAAACAGTGCTACCATCCACACAGGTGGTTGGGCCAACAACCTGGTATCTTCTTTAAAACCCTCAGTCCTCATGCTCCCAAATCCAAGCTACCAGTAAGACCCATATCTTCTACCTCTAAAACAAATCTAAATCCTCCTGCCTTAATCTCCATTGCTACTAAACTAGGCCAGTGGCTTTCAACCAGGAATGATTTTGCCTCCCAGGGGGCATTTGGCTGAATGCCAAATTTGAAGATATGTTTGGCTGTCACGCTGGTTGGGAAGGTGCTACTGGCATCTATGAGTAGGGACCAGGGCTGCTAAACATCCCAAAACACACAAGACAGCCCCTCATGACAAAGAATGGGCCAGCCCAAGACATCCATAATGCTAAGGCTGAGAAATCCTGCTGTAGCCCAGGCCAACATCATCTCTCAGCATTTTCATTCTCACAGTGCCCATCATTACATGAGCCCTACTTTTTACTTGCTTATTTTCAGTCTCCCCACTACTAGAATACAATCCCCTTGAGAACGAAGAACTTGGCTCTCTCTTTCACCTCTGTATCCTCAGTGCCTGGCACACAGGGGTGCTCAATAAATATTTGAAGAATGGATAAATAAGTGTGAAAGAGAAGCAGTGATTTATGATGTTAAAAAATGTAAAATGCAGCAGAGAAGCTCTTAATCCTTCATGTAATAAAAGGCTTCCACGGTTTACAAAGGCCTTTTGTACTTGTAAGACCAATTCATAACAACAACTGTGCTGCAACCTAAAAGCCTGTGATACCCAATTCTGTGCTCACAGAGGGGACTTTCCTCCATGTTAAGCTAAAAAGGAAAATGTTGGGCATATCCATGTGATGAGATACTATGTAGCCAATAAAGATAAGGTTTTCGAAGAATTTGTGACATGGTAAAATGATTATTGGAAAGGAAAGCATAGTGCTGTATATTTCAATTTAAATATATTTATTTTATATGTGCAGTACACTCAGGCACAGTTGACTGTTTTTGGATTATGGAATTAAAAGTGGTTTTCTTTTTCCTTTTTTTTTTGCAACCCTATCTTTTTTGCTTCTTTACTCAGAAAACAGAAACTTTTTAAAAGTAAATTCTACTTCATAATTAAAGTAAGAGTCACAAAACAGGAATGAGATGCAAGTGCTTATGATTGAGGTGAGCATGAGCAATGTAACTGAGGTGGACTAATCTCTAAGAGGAACAGCTCAAAAATGCCCTCCTTCAGAATCTATTTTCAGAGTCAAAGAAGCCAGAAAAAAACATCGACTTTTGCTAAGACAAACTGTCTGCCAAATGTGAGAGGTGAAGAAGATGCCCTGGGGACTGCGAACCTGTGAGTATCTGCAGCCGAATCTGTGTGAGAGTTGTCAGCGAGGTCTGGTAGAGGACACAGATGTTGCAAACCTTCTGGACTTCTGCAGAGTCGACCCGTTTACCCCCGACAGGCCTGAGAATATTCCGGACTGATGCCGACTTTTGAAAAGCACGCTTTAGGAGACCTGGCATGGAGAAAAGAAGACATGTGAGCAGCAGCTCAGCCAGCTGCCAAATCCCACCCTGGAAAAGGAAGAGCATTTCAGTAAAGCTCTAAATGCACAGCCAGGCCAGACAGTGGGGCAACTCACTCAATTCAAGGCATTTCTTTGGGATAAATTAGAAAAACATTAACAACAGGTTTTTAGGTACAACCCAAAGATCTCTTCAGAATACCCAAATATTTCTCAGAATAAGCCAGGCATATTCAAATCTTACATGGGATTCTTATACTGGAAATCACCAAATTTCAAAACCCACAATGGTAAAAATTCAGAGGACTATATTAGGGAAAGAGGGGCAAAGGCAGGGGCCCTGGCTACATCTCTATTTTCTGTGCCTTTAGAGGGAAGTAAGGCGTGACAACCTCTAGTTCTGACACCTGGTTTTGAATGATATTCTACCTTTGTTTTCAACCTTCCCATTGATATCCTGCTGGAGTCACATTTGCTGAGCCCACGCTTACTGCTAGCTATGAGACAGAGTTTTGCAACACACTCAGTAGAAGAACAGACACCCTGAACCTGAAAACCCACCACAGGCAGGTAACTCTGTCAAATTATGCATTAGTGGCCTTTCCATAACTTTTAATAAGAGCGTGCAACGAGAACCTTCCCATGGAACCCATTACTGACCCTGCGATAGGAAAGCCACTGAAGCGCTAGCCCCGCCTGTGGTTCAGTGAGTGGCTCCTTTATAAGGAGTCCCACATGGGAGATTTATTTTCTTAAGAACTCAGAAAAGCTCTACTTCTAAGAAATTAGAAGAAAGCATCCACAGACCCCTTTTCATGTCGGTTTCTGAAACATTTCATGTTGGTTCACAGCCAAACTGAAGTTCACAGGTAGCCACAGTGGCCCTAATGTAACATATGTGTGTGGACATGCTTTTATGACCCAATCTTGATTGTGTTCACCTATTTCTATTTCCCCAATCCTTGTTTTCTATTCTTATGGATTTTTTGTTTTGCTATATATGAACTTAGTGACCTAACAAGCCTCAAAATTGTTGTGGAACAAGCTGGAGGCCAGGTATGGTGGCTCATATATGTCACCCCAGCACTTTGGGAGGCTGAGGTAGGAGGATCACTTGAGGTCAGGAATTGGAAACAAACCTGGGCAATAAGGTAAGGCCCCCATCTCTACAAAAATTAAAAAAAAAAAAAAATTAGCCAGGCATGGCAGTACACGCCTGTAGTCCCAGCTATTATACTTGGGAGGCTGACGTGGGAGGATCACCTGAGCCTAGGAGTTAGAGGCTAGTAAGCTATGATCATGCCACTGCACTGTAGCCTGGGCAATACAGTGAGACTCTGTCTCTAACAACAAGAACGATAACAACAAAAACAAAGTTAGAGCATCCCACAAACACAGCGGAACATCCATATAGGAAGAAACAGGAGCTGTACTTCAGCCAAGTGGAGCTACAGGGTTGGGCCTGCTCCCGTCACTCACTCTTCACTGGGAGCACATTCTGAGGGGATGCTGGCTGTGCGTGGGCTGGCTCCTGGCTCTCCAGTAGCTTCTTGCTCAGGATGTCACAGAAGAAGATCCGGATCAGAGGCACCCCCCACAAGAACTGCAGCTGTTTGGTGATCAAGTGCATTGACTCGTTAAGGCTAGGAGAGAGCAGAGGAGACCTGGTCTGTCAGTTCCATCTGATGCAGGGCCAGGGCCAGCCCACACAGTTCCTAATGGCCTTCCACTCGGAGCTGTAGCTAGGACCTGGCACTCAACATGGCAAAGAAGATTACAAAAATAAAAAGTGGAACTAACAAATCATTGCTGAGGGGCTGGTACGTCAAGGGCATTGACTCTTCATCTTGTCTGCTTTCCCCAGGTCCCCAAGCTCCATGAGTCACACTCTTCTCGAAGACACTTGCTACCACCCAGGTGACAAAAACAATCTTGTACCCACTGCACTGCCTCCCTCCTCATAGCTGGCTTGCAGGTGGTGGGGGGCCAAATCTAGATGACTCAGCAGCCTCCTCAGTGTTTCCTTGCATTCCAGGGGTTCCTTGCCTGACTCCACACTGCACTCAGCATCCCTCAACTTCCTGGAATCTGCTGTCACCTTCCTGCTCAAGAAGGTGAGGTGAGACTCCTAGTGGTTCCCACATTGATCATCATATTGTTAATAGCCGCCACCCCTGAGTACGGCCAGGCCTGCCTGCTGGTAGGTGCTTCACATGCATTATCTCATTCAATCTTTCTAGAAAGCCCTATCAAAGGGAGGGTGAAAATTATCCCCAGGTTTCAGATGAGGAAAGCAAGGCAAAGCAAGTCGTCCAAGTCCCTCCAAGAAGAGGAAGTGGAGCGGAGAGCAGGCTGTCTGCGGAGGTGCTGCTCTCCTTCACTTACCTCCCACAGCCTCCTGACTCTCAGCACCTCCGCCCCATCCTCCTCAGGCTGAGGTGTCACGCTGGGGCAGGCTGTTCCCTAGCAATGAGTCTTTTTAACTAGATAGGACCCAGGGATGTCACTCAGGTACAACAAAAGAAAAATTTGGGGATTTCCTCCCCAGGCCTTTAGTTTTCTGCTGCAAGGGTAACTGCCAGGGACCCCATGCCTCGAGCAGATATGTGAACAAGAAAACAGCTGGGGCAGCAGAGCTGGTTCCTCTCCAGAAACCACTTTATCTCAGCTCAGGTAGATATTTCAAATTCATGAAGCTGCACCTTACTTGATCTCCCTTCTTCTAGTCTAGTGTTTCTCATGTTTTTAAGTTCATAATTACACTTTTAAAAATTTATATTCCACCTCTTGAAAAGGATTTTGGGTGATTTCTATTCCCTTTGAATCATTTGTCTTGTTTTAGCATCTCCAAAATATGGCAGTCTAGTCAAAAAGTGACAGTGAAGAAGAAAAAACATTGATAAGGTCCATAGCTGAATGGAAGGAACAAAATACAAAATAATAGGATTTCAATTTTGTAAAAAAGGATCAGTATTTCTAGATAGGAAAACTGACAGGATGTTCACTCAAGTTATCTTTGGTTTACAGGATAATGGGCTGGTTTTTATCCTCTTTTGTTCTTACTCACAATTTATTAATATATAATGAATACATATTATTTTTATAATAAGAAACAAAACACCACAAGCTGGAAGAAAGAAAGAAGGAAGAAGAAGATGGTGGGAGAGAGGCAGGAAAGACAGTGATTTGCATCTGGGACTCACCCATAATCCACAGATTGGGAGAACCAGCCAAGGACAGGATGCCAGTGGGTCAGGTTGGACTTCTTCTGAGACACATACTTCCGACAGTAGCACAGCGTCTGGGTGAGCAAACTCACGAACCCATCTGTCTCCTCCTCTAACACTCTGGGGCTGAGGGAGCCCAAGTGTAGGAGGTTGCCTACAGAGAGAGAAGGCTGAGTGTGATGGGCCCAGACAAACATTTTGGTGCCTCCCGGCCCTGCTCCCTGCCTGTGGCTCAGGCGGCCACATCCCATGTGCAGCAAGAAATTTCCACATAAGGGGCACCTGTCAATGCCGGAGGCTGCTGTGTGGTGCAAAGGTAAGAAACGGGCCAAGCTGACTTCAAATCCTGGCTATGCCACAGACAAGGTGAGCCGTGGCCGTCAACCCATGTCTCAAACTTGTTTCTTCATTTGTAAGATTGGAATGATGATCCCTACTCTCCATATGAGGATGAAGTGGCAGGTAAAATGTTAGGCACACAGAGGTAGGTGATATTTAGTTAGTGTTACATTTTAATATTATATTAATGCTTAAAAATCAAGGGTTAACATAAGAAATGGTCTTTGAAGAGTATCTGAGTGTCGTGGGAAGTCGCTGTTATTCAACGTTCACCAGTTAGTCAACGTCACTCGTGTGAACATTCGCACCAGAAACTCCTCATGAAATTTGGCCCCAGGGAAGTTTTTATCTCAAGTCTGTAATCTCGCAGGCTGAGGCGTGTGGATTGTTCGAGCCCAAGGAGACTAGACTGGGCAACATGGTGAAAAACCCCGTCTCCACTAAAAATACAAAAATTAGTCGGCCGTGGTAGTGTGCGCTTGTAGTCCCAGCTACTCAGGAGGCTGAGGTGGGAGGATCACCTAAGCCCAGGAGGTAGAGGATGCAGTGAGCCATGACTGTGCCACTGCAGTCCAGCCTGGGTGACAAAGTGAGACCCTGTCTTCAAAAAAAAAAAAACAAAAAAAACTTTTCCTATCTAAAATAAATTTAGGCAAGGAGAATTCTGTGCCTCTGCCTCAAATGCTTCTATTCATAAACCCTTTCTTCCATCTACAATGAAAACACTGTAAAATAGGTAAAGCAGGCGCTGCTCTGATATAAGCCCCACCTAACTACTCCCTCCCTTCTCTCTTGAGATGGGAATTATCCAGGCAATTCACCACATTTTCACTTTCTCCTTGACTGCCAGGAAGCTAAAGGCTGACATCTAATGTTCATTAACAGTCACTTAACTAGTTTGCCAGGCTGGAATATTTTCCATGTGATTTTTATTTACATGTCTATTTTAACTGTCTATCTAAATACGTGTTTTTTATTGTAAGCACTTCCAATTGTTACAGAAAACAACCAAATCTCTAGAATAGTGACAGGCAAAACACTCGGGCTTTCCCTGATGGCCAGGACACAATCAAGTTCCAGCCACGGATACTTACCCATTAGACAAAGCGTATGGCATCCTTCTAAACTTTCACATACATCACGGCATCGATCTTGGTCTCTTAAAAATATGATGAATTTACGAAGCATGTCATGGGATTCTAAAACAGTGAGGCGCTGCAAAGAATAGCAGACCGTTAAATCAGAAACTGCCAGAAACAGTTTCCTGTAGAGAGTGAACTTGATCACTTGCAGATCACCCGTGGTTATGGAGGATGTGCTAGCAAACACCAAGAAGAAAATGGACAGACAAGAACCCACTTCTTTGGGCTACTAACACAAATGTGTCTATCACGGCCACTGGTCCCAAAGAACAATTAAAGGGAGGTGTGGAAATAAGCAGAGAAGCCATTTTACTTTCTAATGTTTAAGAAGAAAAGAAAAACACAATTGGGTTTTCACGGGGAACTCACAGAGCCTGCTTACCTCAGGGGTCACTGTGCTGAGATGAGTCACCAGAGCAGGCACAGACATGATGTGGATGAGGAACGGCCGAATCAGATTGTCTGAGAACTGTGCAGCAATCACAGGGCTAGACACAGATAGATCCACTCATTCAGACAGGTCTCCGTGTGCATCCAGAACAAAAGCACAACCCCACCAACGTGCTCAAATTCCTAGAAATTATTCTGCGTGGGATTTCTGAGAAAACTGAAGGCTGAAATTGGGGACATACACTGGGGAAATGGACAAGTCAGTGATGGTCCAGTTGCTGATGCCATACTGTGCAGCTATGAAAAACCAGTTTTGAAATTTTACTGACATGAGAGAATGCTCATGCTACAATGAACTTTAAAAAAAGGCAAGATGAAAAACTATATACATGGAAGAGGAAGGAGTTTGTGATGGGGAGGGAGGGAAAAAAGGGGGTTTTGGAGTGCTGGTATAATCGATTTCTCTATTGGGTGGTGCTTACCCAGGTGTGTTCACTCTGTGGTAACTCACCAATAACTCATAATTCAGTTAAGCAGTTTATTTAAAACTATATATACACTATAGATACACAATATATACACATGTAGTGTATCTATAGTATGTATACTATATATAAGTATATATATTGTATAATGTTTCGAAATATAAACACAAATATAGATACATTTTTAAAAGATTGAGGACAGATAAAGTTAACAATGTATCTCTGGTTGTAGAATTATGAGAAATTTTTTTCTTTTTTATGTTTTTCTGCTTTATCTAGGTTTTCTACAATAAGCATGTATTGCTTCCATAATCAAAAAAAGATAAATACTATTAGATAAAATAATGGTCCCTATCCCACACCATATATAAAAAATAATGAAATGAGCCACAGACCTAAATGCTAGTTTTATAACTAAAACTATAAAATTCTTAGAAGAAAACACAGGAGTAAAGCTTTGAGATTTCAGGTTAGGCAATGATTTCTGAGGTTATCACACTAAAAGCACAAGAGTCAAAAGAAAAAAACAGGTAAGTTGTGCTTCTTCAAAGTTTAAAACTTTTGTGATTCAAAAGACACTATCAAGAAAGTGAAAAGACAACCCATGGAACAGAAGGAAACACCTGGAGATCACTTGTCTGAAAAGGGACTTGTATCTAGAGCATATAAAGAACTCACAACTCTCATAAAAGATGAAACATCCAATTAAAAAGTAGACGAAGGATCTAAACATACATTTCTCCAAAGAAGATACACAAATGGTTAATAAGCACATGAAAAGATGTTCAACATCACTAACTACCAGGGAATTGTAAATCAAAACAACAGTGAGATACCCCTGTACAGCCACTGGGATGGCTAAATAAAAAAGACAGATAACAAGTATTGGCAAGGATGTGGAGAAACTGGAGACCTCACACAACACTACTCCTGGGAAGGTAAAATAGCACAGGCACTCTGGAAAATAATTTGGCAATTCTTCAAAAGGTTAAGCATGGAGTTACCACATGACCCAGGGAAGTCTACTCCCAGGAATATGCCCAAGAGAAATGAAAACATATGTCTATACAAAAACTTGTACATAAATGTTCACAGCAGCACTATTTATAATAGCCAAAAAGTAGAAACAACTCAAATGTGGTATATCCATATAATGGAATATTATTTGGCCATAAAATGCATGAAGTACTGATCCATGCTACAACGTGGATGAACTCTGATTATATTACGCAAAGTGAAAAAAGCCAGTAGCAAAAGACCACATATGATGTGATTCCATTTATGTGAGATGTCCACAACAGGCAAATCCAAAGAGATAGAAAGTAGATTAGTTGTTGCCAGGGGTTCTGGGGAGAGGGGAAAAGGGAGTGACTGCTAATGGGTATTAGGTTTCTTTTCAGGGTGATAAAATATTATGGAATTAGATTGTGGTGATTTTTGGGAATAGGCCCCCAAAATCTGGCCATAAACTGGCCCCAAAACTGGCCATAAACAAAATCTCTGCAGCATTGTGACATGTTCGTGATGGCCGTGATGCCCACGGCCAGAAGGTTGTAGGTCTACTGGAATGAGGGCAAGGAACACCTGGCCCACCCAGGGTGGAAAACTGCTTAAAGGCGTTCTTAAACCACAAACAATAGCATGAGCAATCTGTGCCTTAAGGACTTGCTCCTGCTGCAGATAACTAGCCAGAGCCCATCCCTTTATTTCGGCCCATCCCTTTGTTTCCCCATAAGGAATACTTTTAGTTAATCTATAATCTATAGAAACAATGCTTATCACTGGCTTGCTGTCAGTAAATACGTGGGTAAATCTCTGTTCGAGGCTCTCAGCTCTGAAGGCTGTGAGACCCCTGATTTCCTACTCCACACCTCTATATTTCTGTGTGTGTGTCTTTAATTCCTCTAGTGCCGCTGGGTTAGGGTCTCCCCGACCAAGCTGGTCTCAGCAGGTGATGGTTGCACAACTCTGTGAACATACTAAATGCCAGGGAATGGTATGCTTTAAATGAATAAAGTGTATGAGATGTGAATTAGACTTCAATAAAGTTATTTTTAAAAATCACTCAGAGGTCATGCAGAAAAAAAGGTATGAGAACAACTTACAGAGGGGAAAAAAAAGGTTTCTTCTAGCTAATGTGCTCCAATAGCAATGAGCAGAGGTGTTAGTGGTATTTAGGCTCTCAGAATTCACACTATATACTTTCACTTTCAAGAGTACCATTTTTGGGACAAGGATGTTTTATGAAGCTGAAATGCTGAAAATATCAGTACCTATGTTCACCACTTGTCTAGGTGAGGCTAACCAACTGAGCTAACCTCTCTGATCTGAGTGGGGCACATGAAAAGAGAACCATGTTCTTTTCTGCAGGTTAGAAAGAAGTTTAAAACAGAAGAGCACAATTCCCTAAATAGAAGAAAAGCAAATCACAGAGAAAGCTGCTAAAACTACAACCAGTCACTTCGCATTTGCAAGGAAAGGACTGCATTGTTATAAGGGTACAAAGGGCTGTGGCATTCTCTAGGGGTTCTCACAGAAACCTATGGATTCCATCCTGGGCCATATCCCTAAGTAACTTGGCCTGCCTGCCTGACTGGGAGCGACGTATCAGTGGAAGCATTATAGGACTGCAGGGCTGCCTCAATGTTTGGAGGGGTGTGATCTTTTTAGTCCGCATGAGGCCAGACTCAAAAAACCACACACACTGCAAACACTCCTACAACTCCCTCAATTTCTTATTACCGATTTCCCCAGCATGAGGTCAACAGAATCTTTCTTTAGCCTACCTGTAGCTGTTGCATTTAAGTACCTCTGGGTGACAAAGTCTATAAGTGCACTGCTTACTTGATTGTTTAACAGGGCCAGACATGGTGGGGGGTTGAGGAGAAGGATAAACAGAAGAGGTATGACTGATGCACAGTCCCTGCTAACAGAGAGCTCAGAGTACAACCAGGGAGCTGGGCAGGCATATGGGGAAAAACAGAAGCCACGGCTAGTGGTTACATGACTAAGTGCCTGGGCAAACTAGGCGTCCAGAAAATCAATGCCACGGCAGTGTGAGGAACAGGGCAAGTTTGGGAAGGTTCTCAAGTGCTATTTACTAAAAAATATATATATTATTCTTAGAATACAAAAATGTGTCCAACATGTGAGGCAAGTACAAAGAATAAGAAGAAAGAGTATGAGTTCTGGAGTTAAATAGCCTGGGTTTAATTTCTGGCCTGGCCACTCCCTGCTGTGTGACCAAGAGCAAACAGTTTAACTTCTCTGGGCCTTAGCTTCCTTATCTATAAAATGGAGAAAAGCCAGGTGTGGTGGCTCACTCCTATAATTCCAGCACTTTTTGAGAGGCTGAGGCATGAGGATCGCTTGAGGCCAGGAGTTTGAGACCAGCCTGGGCAATATAGTGAGACCCTGTCTCTACAAAAATTTTAAAAATAAAAAAATTAGCTGGGCATGTGCCTGTAGTCCTAGCTACATGGAAGGCTGAGGTGGGAGGATGGCTTGAGCCCGGGAGTTTGAGGCTGCAGTGAGCTCTGATCATGCCACTGCACTCCACCCTTGATGGCAAAGCACGACCTTGTCTCACAAATAAATAAATAAAACGGAGATAAGAGAATGTGGTGAGGAGTCAGTTAATACGTGTAAAAGTTTTAGAACAATGTGTGGCCCATGAATGTTAGCTATTCATATTTCAGGATTTAGTGATCACATCTTGGCACACCACTGACGATTTTATAGACTTTCACTATATTCCTATATGATGAAACCACTGATATCTTACTTTAAAAGGTCCTGATTGTGTTCAATTATATACAAACATTCAGAGGGGAAAAGTTCTATTTGGGAAAAAGGCTTTAGAGTAGCCTGGCCTTAACAAGTGATTCAATGGAATCTAATACATACAGAGAAGAAAAACTACAAGGATGACTGCTGGTTATATTCTTAAAGGAGAATTTAAGTGTGGTAGAATGACTGGATGTGAGCATGTTGGTGAATCATATGTGAATTACAACCACACCAGGACAGGGGAGGGATGCTGGACAGGTAAGAAAGGTGAGGTGCTCCTAGAGCTTGTGTCTCTGGAGGTGGAGGGGGAGGCAGAGCTGCTCCTGAGCTTGAAAGTTCAGGCCTCAGTGTGCTGACCTTCACTGTGTCTGCCAGAGGACAGTGGGCAATGCTGCTGGAATGAGCTGCCCCACAAGGTGACTTGGGTAGGGACAGTTGCAGTGAATCTGTTTCTTAGGCTTCTGGGAAAACCTGTTTGTACCTAGACATTAGGGCTCATTAAATACAACTCACATAACTTCCCTAGAAGTATGAAATGAAGGCACAATTGTTTATTAGATAAATAGTTATACTTCCATAACTAATGATAGCATAACCGGTTACATCCTGTTCTTCTGTGTGAGGGTCTAGCCTCTAGAGGCATGTGGTCTAATATGGTAGCCACTGGCTATATGTGGCTACTGAGCACTTAAAAATGCGGCTGGTCCAAATTCAGATGTGCTCTAAGTACATACCAGTTTTGAAGACTTGGCATGAAGAGAAAAATGTAACACATTTAATTTTAATTAAAATAATTTAAAAATATTGATTACATGTAAAAATAACATTTTGGATATATTAGTTTAAATAAAAACATATCATTATACTAAATTTCCCTTTTATTTTGACTTTTTTTTTTTTTTTTGAGACCAGGTATCACTCTGTCATCCAGGCTGGAGAAGCTCAATCACGGCTCGCTGCAGCCTTGACTTCCCTGGCTCCAGTGATCCTCCCACCTCAGACTCCTGAGTAGCTGGAACCACAGGCACATGGCACCATGCCCAGCTAATGTTTGTATTTTTTGTAGAGACAAGGTTTGGCCATGTTGCCCAGACTGGTCTTGAACTCCTGAGCTCAAAATGATCTGCCCACCTCAGTCTCCCAAAGTGCTGGGATTACAGGCATGGGCCGCCGTGCCTGGCCTCTTTTGGCTTTTTAAATGTGGCTCTAACTGTGTTTCCATCGGACAGACCTGCTCTAGGTCAGCCTTGTCCAACAGAACTTTCTGTGATGCTGGAAGTTTTCTATATCTGTGCTGTCCCACACAATTGCTACTAGTTACATGTGGCCGCTGAGCATTTGAAATGTGGCTAATGCAACTGAGGAAGTGAATTCTTCATTTTATTTAACTTAAATGAATTTTCATTTAAACAGCCCCCTGTGGCTAGTGGTTAGTGGAAAGCACAGTCTAGACCAGGTGTTTATAAACTATGGCCTATTTTTGTAAATAAAGTTTTACTGGAACACAGTCATGCTCATTTGTGTATGTACAATCTACGACTGCTTTCAAGATGCAATGGCAGAGTGGTTGTGACAGAGGCTGTATGGCCCATAGAGTTGAAATATTTATCCGGCTCTTTCCAGAAAATTTGGCCAACCCATGCTCTAGCCCATCATTTTCCAAATAGGTTTTCCATGGAAAATGATTTCATGGGATATCAACGGCATCCAAAAAACAAGGCAGGGGTATTCCATGCTCAGATACGTTTGGGCCAACCCCGGGTTAAATAAGCCCATGGGGTCCTGCTAGCATAGCAGCACTTCTCAGAGCTCTCAGCATGAAGGTGTACTGTAGATCCACAGATGGGGGCAGAGCAGGCAGCTTTCACCAAGCTGGTTCCACCATGACACTCTTCCTTCCAGGATCTTTTATTAACATCTCCCCAAGCTAGTGTTCCCCTTGACAGTTTAAACATGTTCTGGACCTATGAACAAGCATAGTGTTTTACATTTGGCAATTCTCAGAATTGCAGGTGTAATTTCCATAAGGAATTAACTTAGCTTCTTCAGTACCTGACATCTCCAAACTAAGTGAAGGCAAATATCACCTCTTCTCTGGTCCTCCAAATTCTAACATTTTACATGCGTATTCACATTATTTCCTTAATCCTCTCACCCTGCCCTTTGCTGGGCTTCTCCTGGCTCCTAGGTTTTTTGTTTTGTCAATTAAAACTTCAAAAGGAAAAATGATTGCATCTTGGCCTCTTTTAGATAAAAGAAATTCATTTTGAATAGTTTCCAAAGATCACACTGCAATAATATTCAGGGCTGAAGATTAAGAAATATTCAAGACTGAAGATTAAGAAAAAGTTTGAGCAGTCACAAATGTGCTCACTTTCATTAAGAACAATGCTTCCCATAAATTCTGACAAAATGGGCAAGTCTATACCTAATACCAGTAACGAGAGAAAGAAAAACCAAGAGGAGGAAGCATTCAAGAACATGCCAACACCTCAGCTATGGTTTCTTACTCACCGTAACGCTAGAGAAAAAGCTGCTGTTAAAGTGCCTTTGGATAGACAAGGACGGGGTCTTGCCAGGCCACGGGTTAACAATATCTGAAAAGAATGTTTTAATTGGTCAGAGGATGATATCAACTTTATATTCATTTGTACATAAAAGAGCAAAAAAGTAAACTGAGTGCTTCAGATAAAAAAACTGTATTGTGAGCCAGGCATGGTGGCTTGTACCTACAGTCCCAGCTCAGGAGGCTGAGGCAGGAAGATTCCTTGAGGCCAGCCTGGGTGACAGGGCAACCCTGTCTCTTAAAAAAAAAACAAAAAAACAAAAAAACAAAAAACCGTATGCAGTGTTTTTATAAAAGGAAAGGGAAGAAAGTATTGGGTAACGAGGTTAACTCTACCACTCTTTCTCTAAATATTATGGTTAGAAATTCTTTAATAATAAAGTTAAAAAAACAGCTAATACAAATAATGCCAGACTTAAAATTTAAAGACATCATATTATTTTAGAAGCCGTTTAATTATGGTATGAAGTAGAAGGTTCCTCTAGCGAGACAACTGCCAGTCATACCAGCTTCTGCCAACGGACCACCTCACAGGGTTGTTGTGAGGAGCATATGAAACCAAATCAGGAAACAGCCCATCACAGCACTAGGGAGAAGGAAGGGCAAAGTCAACATTACTTCTCAAACTCAAGACTTCCATTGTACCTTTAAACAGCAATCAGGCTTTCTCAACAATTCCCTAGAGGTATGATCTGGCACAACAAGGTACAAAGTGGAAAGGGCTGTTTGAGGACACAGAGCTAGAAATATGATTCTAGACATCAACCAAGAAGGAATCTGAGGGAACAAGCCCTGAGGTCTCCTTCCAGAGTTTAAATGTCAAAAGACTGGATTACCCTTGCAGCCAAAAATGTAGAGCATTCAAGGGATCCCAGCACCACTGTCCTCCCTTTACCTGACCCACAAGTGAGACAAGGCAGGGGAAGGAAGAAGAGGACAGCAGGCATCAAGCTCTTCCTATGAAAAGTGTTTCTGAGGAGGACACCAGGTATGCTGAATGCAAATGTAAAAATCCAAGTGCAGGTGTTGGAGAGTGGAGAAGTTGCACACTGGGGGGCAGGAGTCACAGACCTGCAGCACAGAATAAAATCCATGCTGGTTGAGATGTCCCATTATATTTGCACAAATGTGGTTCATCGCTGGTCGAAGACTTTCACCTAAAGAAAGAAAACAGTGAGAACAAAAAAGTCTCTTGCCATAATGTGACCTGTTTATGTGGGACAGGAAATTGTGTCCCACATCCGAGGCCCTAAGAAATGAGATACCCCCTGGCTTGCCTCCCTTTTCCCTTAGGCCTGGTGCCAGAGCACAGAAAGGCAATGCGTACCTGGAACTCTCTCTCTCCTGGTAGGCCTGGCTCAAGTGTCACCTCTTGAGTGATGGGTCCTCTCACACCCCTAGCCAGAAGTGACGTCTCTGGCCTCTGAGCGCCTGTAGCACCTTTTCTAATTCCCTCCTAGGGCCTAGCACTGCCTTCGCCAGGGGGATGCCTACTCTCCTCAATGGGACATGAGCTTCCCAGCAGGGCCCAGAACTGAACAATTTTTGGGTTCCCCCCAAGAGGCCAGGGTCATGCCTGAAATAAGCCCTCCTTGCTGACCTGGAGCCTTGCATACAGCTTTCCCTGCTTTCCGTTTCATCCCCGCTCTTCACTCTGTGAATCCTAGCTCCCTCTGCAGCTCTCAGCTCACACACCACTTCTTCAGGAAAGCTAGAGACCCAGACCAAGCAAGGCCTCCCCACCCTACTGGACACTCTCATTTCTCTTGCATGCTTCCTTCCAAGCACTTACCACATTATTGTCATTTTATATCTATGAGCGACATCTATTTAATGCCTGTTTTCCTCATCGGACTTTAAGTTCTGTGAGGAAGGGAGCACCTAAAGTCCCTGGAGGGCAATGCCCCTTTCTGTTTTGCTTATCTGTCTTCAGCGCCTAGAGGCATCTGGCATGTATGGGCTACTTGTTGAACAGATGAATGAAATGACCATATGAAACACACGGCACTAACGACACTTACCAGGGAAGGAAGAAGTTTATAATGCAAATTTTATGGGCAAAATAGAATTATTCACAACCTAATGATTTTCCAAGTAAAATGACAAGGCTTAAGTGAATGTAATCACTTGGAGGCTAAGGCACTGTGGGAACTATAAAAATTAAAATCAGAAGAACCATGACTTTAAATGTAAATTCAAAGAAGGGTTGAGTACAACACACAATGCTGAATGGATTGTGGATACTGCGATGCAGTCTGATGGTCAGCACCAAGGGCATCCTCATTTGTATGGTCTCAGGGCCTTCCCTGAGGCTTGTGGCAAAAATGCTTCTTACAAAGGAAAAAAGGTCCCTGAGCTCTCTATGGAAATGTTGGTTAGAGAACATTTTGAAGCAAGTCCCACAGACCTTTTCCCCGAAGAATTTTCCACGTTGAAGTGTCTGTGAAGGTGACAAGCATCGTGAGGTACAGGGTGATGAGTCGGGAGTCCTGCAGGATTTCAGGCTGGAAACAATAAACACAGCAAGATTAAGACACACGTCTTCTGATTCCAGACAGTGAAGTGTTCACTTTACAACTGCTCTATGGGCACTCAGCCTGGAATCACTGAGTCAGGATTATAAGTCAGTCTTAATTCTTTTTCTCTTGGGCAATGACCACTCCAGGAGTTAAATAACAGGGAATGTGGCACTCTAGTGCCTGATAATGGAATCATGGGATTCCATTATTCTTGGGAATGGAGAATTGAGAATCCCTAGAAAACAAGATGACCAGGGCTGGCTTGCTGTATGTACATGTGCCTGCCTGTCTGTCTGAACTCTGCAGCAACAGAGCAGAAATGCAATTGAGCATGACTAGGACTCTGGGCTCAGCCTTCTGACTTCACCACTTACTAGCTGTGTGAGCTTAGGCAAGTTTCTTAACCTTTCTGTGCCTCGGTTTCCTCATCTGTTGACCAGAAATAGTAACACTGCTTTCCTCATAGGGTTGTTGTGAGAAATAAATGGATTAATGCGTATGATGCACTAAGAACAGTGTCTGGCACATAGATAACTCCATGTAATGTTGGCTGCTGTTCTAATTTTGATGACAGTTCATTGTTTCACCAAGTGTAAGTCAAGCAAAAGGCCTGACTGCTTTCTAGGCCCACAGACCCTATAGCAGGTCCACCTGGAAGGGACCTTGGAGACAACCTTGGAGACCACTGAGTTCAAACCTCAAAGCTCATCGACAGTAAGAGAGGGGAAGCAGCTTGTTCAAGGCCACGTGGGAAATGAACAGCAGAATCAGGACTGAATTTCACATATTCCTGGCTCCAGAGTCAGGGCCCTTTTTCTCCTGACGTCTGTTTCTTTGCATAAACTTTTTTTGTTTGTCCAAAATAGAAGAGCTTCTCCTCAAAGAGCAATCTGTTGTGGAATGTACACATAGAGAGCAGATAAACAAGGATCTGCCTGGCTCGCGTGCAGGTAGGGAAATACCCTGCTCACTTGGCCCTAAGGCATTCTGGTGGACTCCCAGGGCTCCGAGGAACATAGTGTGGAAACCCTGCGCTGAGCCATGTCTCACCTGACAAGCCAGGCATGGCAAGAGCCATTCCTGAGCAGCCAAAGAGGGATGGCTGGGAATGGATTATTACTGGGGTTGGGGGCGGTCTGGGGACTTTCGTTCCATTACTGAGCTGCTATCTGTGTCCTTGCCAAGCCTCTGTCCCTGAGACCTCTCTATCCTTATAAGCAAAGTGGAAGTGGCTCCTGTGTATGTCTGCTCACACCCCTGTCCATCCTTTTCAGAACACTGAAGGGGGTAGGGGAACACAGGACCAGGCTGGGCTAGTGGCAGTACCCCATTCCTCTTGCCACTGTGACTGGTTCAGAGATGAACCCAGGATTCACTGGACCTACAAGAAACCTGGATTTTTGAACTGGTCGGGAGGCCTCTCCTCCCTTTAGTCAAGACAGAGTAAGAATATAAAGTCAAAACTGCTCGTTGCCATGATTACAGCAGGAAAGGACGAGGTGACCCCAAAAGGGAGCAGGGATGAGAGAAAAGAATGAGAGGGAGAATCAGAACCCCCTAGCTCTCCTTACTCTAGCTGCCACGTTACTGAATATATTCTAGAGCACAACGTTCTCTTCCTTGCTTAACTGGTACGTGATACTAGCTGTGCTCACGTTCGGCTTCTGTACTTTTAACAAGAGGCCTGACTAGTATAATAATGTAGATCATAAAGTACTGATTACATTAAATGAATGGGAAGGAAAGTGACAGATTCCCTGCCATGGAGGCTGTGGCGTGGCAAGCAGTTTAAGGGTCCAACACACACCAAAGGAGGGCTCATATTGATAACAGAATCAAAATTCCTCTCTTCCAGAACAGTGGCTCAACTAGCAACTCTCGTTGATAGTGACTCTGAAAATACAGACTAAAGTCTACAGGTGAAAATGACATACGTACTGTTTCTGGTTTTGCTTTTTTTTTTTTTTTTTTTTTTTGTTACCTTGAGCTGCTTGAGAAAATCACAGCAGTACCACAAAATGTTCTTGATCTGTTGAATCCAAAGGAGGGTGAGGTCCTTAGAACAAGCCAGGGACACATACCACACCTATAGGTGGGAAAAAGAGGAATGTCATGGGCTGTTATAGAGATCATATCACTTGTGCTCTAACTGTTGGAACTGGACCTATTAGTTAGGTCCAGTGCCAGATAAAGCAGTGGACCTGAATGGACAAATAAGCTGTAAACAGGACTTATTTTAACACTAAACGCAAAGACAAAATAGCCTAGTAAGAAAATTTACTATCCTGTGTTGTGGCAAGAGCAGAACGTAGCTACCTGGATCATGAAGAAACTAAGGAATCATTTGTACTTTGGTAATGTTTTCCATCCACTACTTATTTGCATTTGTGTGTGAATTGGTCCTAATATTCAACAGGAACTTTCAGAGCCCAGTAGGTTGGCCCTTAAGAGCTTGTGGGAGACACTGCGGCTCCCGTCCACTTACCTTAGGCTCATTCTCAGCATCCATGCTGCTCAGGATGCTGCGACACAACTTCTCAAATCTCTGCAAAGAGACACACTGGGGGTTATACATTCCCACAATCCATCAAAAAGTGAAAACAAAGAAAACAAGCCTTCAGCGGGTACCTGGCACGTGCAGGTATTATGCCAGGTGATTCACACATAATCACATGCAGTTCCTTCCTACAGATGAGGACACTGAAGATCATAAAGACTAAAGGGTTCTCCAACTGGTGGCCCAAGAGCTGGAGGAACCCTATAGAAATGTTTTAGAAACTGGTATACTTCACATAAAAACCCAAATTGAGGCTTCTTTCAAAAAACAGTATCAATCTGGCAAACTGGATTTGGATTCCTGCAGGCCTGCTGCTGTCTCCTCAACTGTGCTCTCCAGTTTACCTTTTCTTAAGCACCATGGATACTGACTTTTGCCTCACAGCCAGTAGCCAAAGGCTGCTGTATCATCACTTTTATCCTGTAATGCAAAAGGAAGAAAAGTGGAAACTAGAAAACAGGTTCCATTTTGGCTATACCAATCCTGGATCCGCCCTTAAACCATGTGATATTGGGCAAGCTGCCCTACCACCCTGAGCTGCAGTTTCCTTCTCTGTAAGATGAGGTTCACCTCCTCCAGCTTATCTGTCCTCATCTACGTAATCATGTGTTCACTGCCTGCATAGTCCTCCCTCTCTTGCTGGGCTATGAGCTCCATGAGCGTAGAGATCTTGCCCGTCCTGTTTCCTCCCAAGGGCCCAGTGCCTAGAGAGGGTTGGCACAATGTGAAGCTTAGCAATAGGAATGCCTAACAGCCTAACAGCTGGTAACTTGGAGACATGCCTCAGTGGCATTGTTAGTACTATTACAGATAACTAGCTGCTTTTCTGGGATTACACTTTTCAGGCTGATCATTCTAATCCCTAAGGTGCAAACTGGCACCTTTTGTATGATTTGCAGGATATTTAAAAAATTTCAAATTAATTGCCAAGATTTACAAATTAGAACATTGATGGTAGCTCACGCCTGTAATCCCAGCACTTTGGGATGCTGAGGCAGGTGGATCACTTGAGCCCAGGAGTTTGAGACAAGCCTGGGCAATAAGGTAAAACCCTATCTCTACAAAAAATACAAAAACTTGCTGTGCATGGTGGCACACACCTGCAGTCCCAGCTACTGAGGAGGCTGAGGCAGAAGAATCGTTTGAGACTTGGGAGGTCAAGACTATAGTGAGCTGTGATAGTGCTACTGCACTCCAGCCTGGGCGACAGTGAGACCCTGTCTCAGAATATGAAAGAATGAATGAACGAACATTGAGCATAAAAACTCAGATCTTTGGCATCTCTTTAAAAAAAAAAAAAAAAAATCAGAGGCTGGGTACAGTGGCTCACGCCTGTAATCCCAGCACTCTGGGAGGCTGAGGCGGGCAGATCACAAGGCTAAGAGATCGAGACTATCCTGGCCAACATGGTGAAACCCCATCTCTACTAAAAATACAAAAATTAGCTGGGCGTGGTGGCACGAGCCTATAGTTCCAGATACTAGGGAGGCTGAGGCCGGAGAACTGCTTGAACCCGGGAGGTGAAGACTGGCAGTGAGCCAAGACTGCGCCACTGCACACCAGCCTGGCGACAGAGAGAGACTTCATCTCAAAAAAAAATCAGAGTATGAGTCCACCACCGAGGTGTGTAGTAGCTGCTCCCCGTGGATGGGGCAGGCCACAGACCCTGCTACTCCTTTTGATGTCCTTACCACTGCTGCCTGTCAGTTACCGTTTAATATGATTTGTATTTTGTATTATGTTTTATCTCATATATGTTTTTTTTACTCATTTACCTAAACTTCCTGACTCTTGCATGCATCTGAGTTCAACTTGTGCTTATAATGGTCAATGTGAAAAGATTCCTAAAAGCACTGGGCATAATCCCTCCAAAACAGGTCCCAAGAAAACAAAAGGGACAGGATGTGAGGGTGACAGTAATTACCTCATAAAGCTGCTATAAGAACTGAGTTAATATCAATAATTATAAAAGATCTGACATATGGAAGTATTATACATGTTTGCTATTATCGTTTTACCTCATTATCCTCTTTGATTCTGAATAGGAACAGCAGTTTCCTGGCAATCTTGAAAATACAAAGTGCACTTCTTTTAGTGGACTCAGGGTCATCTGCTTTAAAAAAGTCATCAATCTCTCTCCTAGAAAAGAAAGTGCAAAAAAAGACATTTTAAATTAACAGCTTGTAGCACCTGGAAGGCTTTTCAAGCACTTTATGAGAAAAAACTCATTTATCTGCTATTAATTGGGAGCCAGAGAATCATGTGCTAGGGAGATCCTAGCCCTTACCTGATATCTCTCTGCAGTCGACTCCGACAGAGAAAACTCCGGACATGGGCCTGGATCACAACAGCTGCCCGCTCCCGTTCCTTCTGCACAAGCCTTTCTTCTCGTGCCTGACGGGCTCTATCGATGAACCATGCTCTCGAGGTCTGAGACAGGGTGAACATGTTTGCAAACTTGCACAAACCCTGCAAGGAAAATGGGCAAGTGGGTGTTGTAGATTGTTGTGTGAAAAACACACACAGAAAGGGGCTCAAGAGCAGAGGGTGGGCAGGGACCTGGGCAGCAGAGATACTCAGGACCTGTCAACACCCTCCAAAGCGCTAACAGCTCTCCGGCACAAGTCCCTACCTCCTATAGGCTCTTTCATGCAACTCACCAAGACCAGGGATGCTACATCCTATATTAAATAATCACATCTTCTTAAGGGAAAGAGCACAGCACCTGGCATAGGATAAGGGCAGGCCCAGCTTTACGAATGAACAAAGAATGAATCAGTCCCACCCATAAAGCTCTAATTCAAACCAGGTATCCTATAGGTCAAAGATTCCCAGATATTTGAATTTTCTGGAGTAGTCCACAGTATTTGGGAAACCAAAACTGAGAGGTCAGCTTTTATTTTGCCAAGTAAGGACTCGAGAGAAAAATCCAACATGATTATTTGCTGTCATCATCATTGTATTCATCCATTCACTAAACAAATATTTACCAGTGCATACTTTGTGACAGCACACAAAAAAGAAAGGGCCATTTCAACATTAACAAAGCAAAAGGTACACACTTCAGAATGCAAGACAGTCCATTATATTGAAGATATTTGGTTTTATGTATAGCTTATTCCATTGTCCTTACAATTACCATCCTGCCAAGGACCAGTGAAGACTTTACTGTAGAACTGGTCCTGTCCACTAACGGGTGCTTTTCTGAAGAGCAGCTCTAAATTATATACTAAGTTTTTATCTAAATCACCAGTAACTGTTTTTTCCTAAAGGAACAGCTTTTGCTAGCAGCCTAAAGCACACAGCACTGACCCCCGGAGGCTCCCATATTGAGATGATTTCTTTAGATGCTTGATGACATTGCCATTCTATACAAAATGCACAATCAGCCCAGTTAAAAACACTGAAATGAATTATTCAGAAATCCAGACTTCCAGAAAACAATCTCTCTACCAGGCTACTTTACTTGAAGTAGCACCCACATGAAAATATCATCCAGAGTAAAAAGTCGGATGGCTAGAACTAGGGGCCATCTATCCTAAGTGAAATAACTCTGAAACTGAAAGGCAAATACTGCATGACCTCACTTAGAAGTGGGAGCAAAACAATGGGCCCACATGGACAAACAGAGTGGAATAAGATAATGGAGACTCCAAAAGGTGGGAGATGGGACAGGGGTAAGGATTGAACAATTATTTATTGGTACAATGTTCACCATTCGGGTGATGGGTGCCCTAAAAGCCCAGACTCCACCATTACACAATATATGCATATAAGAAACCTGTACCCCCTACATCCATACAAAGAAATTTAAAAATTATTAAAATAAACATTGGACTTAATAGTATTATCTCCTAGAGGTATTAAATTAATTACGTGTTATTGAAAGGCATTTAATAAGTGTGCTCTATTATTAGTATTAATAAGGACAATAAAATAATACCCTTTTATAACCAAAAAAAAGTTGGTGCAAGCCTCCCACCACATGAACATATCAAGGGACCTCTGTGACCCCTTCTCAACAGTGATCTGTCAAACATCATCAGTAATCCTTGAAACAAACTAACAGAGCCCACTTGACCACAGGAGGGAAGGTATTAGGTTGGTACAAAAGTAATTGTGGGTTTCAACTTTTTTAAAAAAACACTAAGTCGTAATTACTTTTGCACCAACTTATAAAAGGCTTGGAGAGAAACGGTAGCCATCTTCTGAATCATTTACGCTTCCTGCCCCAGCAGTAAAGTCTGGAGATCTCACCTGAGGACCTGCCTGTGTCGCAGAAATGCCAGGTAATCATTAGTGATCTTGCACAGGACTCGTGGCTGAGAACAGCTTCTCACTTCAGAAAAGCTTGTTATTTTTTCTGGCAGAAGCAGAAGAAAAAAATCCAGACTTAGGGTTAAATTTTATAGGTGTGGTATCATACATCTTCCTCACTGAGTAAAAGTAGTAACTACAATGCCAATGGTTTTTTAAAAACACCACTGGGTCCTCTTTATTTAATGTCTCATCTAAATGTTATACTGTATCTCTTCAATCCTCACAGTTTAAAGGGAATATGTTGAAAATAAATCCCAAAGTTGTTGTTGAATTACAGCTGTGATGGGAAGCAAAATAACTTAGAGGTCATGGAATGTTAAAGAGCTACTGAAAATTATATTTGACATTTTCCTTTTTTTTTTTTTTGAGATAGTCTCACTCTGTCGCTGAGGTTGGAGTGCAGCGGCATAATTTCAGCTCACTATAACTTCTGCTCCCAGGTTCAAGCGATTCTCCTGCTTCAGCCTCCCAAGTAGCTGGGATTACAGGTGTGTGCCACCATACCCTATCTCAGTTGGGGTTACAGGTGTGAGCCACTGTGCCCGGCCATGTTTGACATTTTTTTTTTTTTTTTTGAGACGGAGTCTTGCTCTGTCGCCCAGGCTGGAGTGCAGTGGCGCGATATTGGCTCACTGCAAGCTCCGCCTCCCGGGTTCATGCCATTCTCCTGCCTCAGCGTGTTTGACATTTTTAATGATAATGGAAAAACGTTTATGCCTTAGAAGTGAATAAAGGGCTGCCTGTGGACCAATAAGACCCCAATTACCTAAAGAAAAATGTACACACACACAGATACAAAACTAGCATGAACTATACCAACATGTTACCAGTGGCTGTTTTGAGGTACTGAAATTGCGGGAAATTTTTCTTAATTGGTCTGTATTTTCTAAATTTTCCACAGCATGCACATGGTGAAGCAGCACTGCACAGTGAGGGGCACACGGGCTTTGGGAGTCACACAGAGTTGGAGCCAGTCCCTAGCTCTGCCACATACTATAGGGAGAATGTCTAAGTCTTTTTTTTTTTTTTAAGGCAGGGTCTCGCTCTGTCATCCAAGCTGGAGTGCAGTGGTGCAATCATGGTTCATTGCAGCTTCTACCTCCCAGGCTCAAGCGATTCTCCCACCTCAGCTTCTCAAGTAGCTGGGACCACAGGTACATACCACCACATCTGGCTAGTTTTTAAATTTTTTGTAGAGGTGGGGTCTCGCTATATTGCCCAGGTTGGTGGTCTCAAACTCCTGGGCTCAAGAGATCCTCCTGCCTTGGCCTCCCAAAATGTTAGGATTACAGGTATGAGCCACCACACTGGGCCCTGAGTCTTTCCATCTTCATCTATTAATTGGCTTAGAGGTTGATAATGAGGACTAAATGTGATGATGCTTATCAGGTACCTATGGAGGTACTTGAGTGCACATTGTAGAGTGTATAGTCAGGAAGTCTAACTGGTGTATTATTTTTATAGACACAAGGATTAAAAAAAAAAAAAAACTCTTCAGCAGAGGCTCCCACCTGGACAGTTACTAAGGTTCTCTGGGTAGGAAATAATGCTGGCAGTCTGACATTTCTCACCCATTAACTTTTTTCCTATCTTAAATGCACTAAGATTCACCAGTCCTGTCCCTTGGGCTATGAACTCCTGGCCCTGTTGTTTAGAGTGAGTAACAGATTCAAGCTCCTCAGGACTGCAAAAGAGCAGGGCCCAAGCCACAAGCACAATGATATGCTCCCTCCATGACATGCAGACAGTGCCTCAATGGCAGAGGGTCCATGGAATTAGAAGGGGAAGAGGGAGCCTCTTCCCAAAAGAAAAACAAAGTTGCATGCAAACTGTACCTAAGCACTGTAAGACGATCTTAAAACTTTCACTTCTCCCAGGGGCCCTCCCAGAATAAGAAATTACTCTTATCCCCTTCCTTGAGATTATTATCCCTTCAGCAATGTTATTGGTTGATTTCTGTTCATATCATATAATAGCCTACACTTTACAGTTTTTCTCATCCTTTCCTATATACCTTCTCCACCTGCACAGTGTATACTATAGTTCGTCAATTAATAAAACACACAATCAAGTGTTTATTAAGTACTTATTTTGCTAAATGCCATGGAGAACCAAAGAAAAGGCTGTGCGCAGCAGAAAAAGTCTTGCATCAGAGAAAGCGGGCCTTGGTTCTTTTTAGTACTCCTTCTATCCGACATTTGGCCAAGTTACTTATCCTCTCTAGGCCTCAGTTTCCTTATGTGTAAATCGAGGGTAATAATAGTGTCTATGTCCTAGGGTTGCTGAAAGGATTAAATGCAACATTTATCCTTCTTGTACCTCAATTTAGTCATCACAACATTGTGATTAGGATTAAATGGGAAAATATTAATATAGGATATCTAAAAGCATGTAGCATGTAAGTGAGCTTTATTGTATTGTCCTTAAGAAGCTTGCAATCTAGTTAGGGAAACAAGAATCATATAGGTAGAAAGATTAGAAAATAAGAGGTTGGTGATAACCAAGATCATTTAAAAAAGTAAATGAGTGCCCATTATGTGTCAAGTCCTTTATAAGTGATCTCATCTAATAAGGAGAGGAGTCCTATGAGAAGATCATTCATGATCTCATCTACTCCAGTCTAGACCATTAGTATGTGGCAGAGTCAAGGCTGTAATAACTAAGAGGCAGGATTCAGACTCTTGTCTTACCTCTATATTTCCAAAGCTGAAGCATCATAAATACCAACTGCTGACTAAGCCAAGAGGATTGTCCCTGTGCAGTAGGAAAAGCTGGGCCACCAGGTTTAATGACCACCACCACTTGTTCTGGGCAGACGGTGTATCAGACACTGCACAGATTATTTAACCAACTTGTCTTTTCAACAGCTCTATCAGTTCTCGATAATCTTTGTTTTTTTGAGACGGAGTCTCACTTTGTTGCCCAGGCTGGAGTGCAGCGGCGCGAACTCTGCTCACTGCAACCTCCGCCTCCCAGGTTCAAGTGATTCTCCTGCTTCAGCCTCCCAAGTCGCTGGGATTAAAGGCGCCCGCCACCACGCCCGGCTAATTTTTGTATTTTTAGTAGAGATGCGGTTTCACCATGTTGGCCACGCTGGTCTTGAACTTCTGACCTCAGGTGATCCGCCCGCCTCGGCCTCCCAAAGTGCTAGGATTACAGGCGTGAGCCACCGTGGCCAGCCTCAATAATCTAATTTTTATTTAAAGAATAGGAAACACGACTTAAAGAGACTATTCATATTAACAGCTACTATTTATTGAAAGCTACAGCCTATCTAAGGTGGATGCTTTTGAATCTGAATCCATGTATATCCAAAACAGTTATTTATCACTAAGTAAAACAAACAAGATCCAGGGCTCCCCCGTTCACAGAATGGCCAAGCAAAGAGAAGTTGAGAGTGCAAGATTGCCTGTGGGGGCTAAGCTGGAGTTAAATTACGATCAAGTTTTTCTTTATTCAGAACTAGGTGTCAGGCACGGTACTAAAACGTATTCACACCCTCTGTGAAACCTGCTAATTACTCCATTTACACAGAAGGAAACTGAGGCTCAGAGAGGTGAGGGAACTCACCCAAGGTCACACAGCGAGCGAACAGTATTCGAACTCCAGTTTAGGTGAGTCCTGGGGCCCAGAGTCTTTCCTCGGCATCAACAACCACAGGAACAAATCACCCAGCATTAGTCCGTTTATAAAGGCCTACCGTCCCCAAAGTGAAAAGAGGTGGAAAGGGCCGCGGAAAGAGCCCCTGGAGCACACACGCCAGATCCCAGCACTTGTTCCTCCGACCTGGCCAGGCAGGGACTGTGCCCTAGAGCCAACTCCCTCAAAGTCCCCAGCCCCACCACTCGGAGGACTGACGACCCAGTTCTCCCGCAGGCCGGACCGCAGGCCCTACCGGCCTACCCGCAGGCCGACCTTTATTCGCCGGAGGTCCCCGCACTTGGGGTCGGGGCCGCAGCTGCCACTGTCTCAGCCCAAAACACCCGAGTTCTGCCAGACCCGGGGCAGCAGCCGACGCACTACCGCCATCTTGCCCCGCGGTGTTCGCTTTCAGAACCCCGCCAGGAAGCAAGCATCCAGTTCCGGAAAATGACAGTTCCGCAGAGCTTCTTCGCCCGGGAAGGAAAACTTCCCCACACCTTGCCTCCCCTCTGGCAGCTGAAATAGCGGAGGTGGGATAAATGCCCTCCCCAGCCGAGAAAAGCTGGAACCCACTCCGGCCGGGGAGGCTGGAAAGAAAACTGGCCCCTAGGCGCACAACGGACGGCTTAAGACGTTGCCCTCTGCGGGGCGGAAGTGGGGTGCGGACAGCGGAAGTTATCGCTCCGGCCCCGCCTCCGCCCCCGGCTGGCGTGAGCTGGGTGTTTCCTGCCTCTCTCAGTCCGGGTTTGGAGACTCCTGCGTCCTCCGACTTTTCATGGTAGGGAGGGCGGTGCCCATGGACTAGGGGTTGAGGGCGGCCGAGGGAGCTGGGCAGCAGCAGAGTATAAGAAGGGACCGAGAGGAGGGGGTGTGATGAGGGGCAGTCACGATAGTGGAGAGGCATTTGGGGGATTGGTTAGGGGAAAGGCCCGGGGTGGGGGAAGGGCTTTGGGTGGAGAATTAGGGGCGGGGGTGGTGGTAGGGAGGCTCCCTGGCGGTTAGGAATCCGGGAAGCACATTTGGGCTTGCGGAGTAGATACGTGTGTGCGTGAGGAAGGGGTGTCTCCAAGTGAGTCCTGAGTGCTGGTTGGAGATGGGAGTTGGTGATTGCGAGGAGAACAAAGAGATATCAATTGAAAACGGACATTTGGGGGTGGAAAATGAGGATTTGGAGGATTATGAAGGAGAATGAATGGGCAGGTTATGAGAAGGTGAGGTAGGATTCCTTGGGGCGGAGCGTTTGGCGTTTTGGAGGTTGTGGCTGGAGTCGCTGAGTTTCCAGGAAGTGGGGAAGGGGCTCCCAGGTGCGTCTGAACACACGGCCCAGTGAGGGAAAGAAATCGAGAGAGCCCAGCAGGCTGATGTGCGTTCAGTGCTTGGAATCCTGGGGAGAGATGCCAGGGGCCTGAGGTTAGGATACCTGCGCCACGGAGTTCAGTGCCTCAGCTGGCGCCTGGGTACCTATCTGTAACTTCCATTGAGGCCAGAGGTGACCACGCCTAAGGAGCGGAGGATGTTTCAAGATCTGTCTCTCAGCTGTGGGGTTTGTCTGCTTGGGATCCTCAAGGGTCTGTTCCCTGAGTAGCTCATTGTCCCTGGGTAGAGATGACCAAAGATTGGCCCAGATCTTCTTTCTACTTGCTTGCTTGTTTGTCACGTCCCTGGAAAGTGCAGTCTTAAGGGAAAATCAGTCCCAGTGACGCTGCTGAAGAAAAGTCAGTTATCCTGTAGCTGACGTTGACTAGTCCGCTCCATTTTGTGCAAAATAAGGACCAGCGGATGGGAAGAAGGCAGCATAAACCAGTGGTTCTCAAACTCTGGTCCCACCAGCAGCAACACCTGGTAACTTATTCAAAATGGCTGAAATTTCAAGCCCTGTCAGAGACTACTGAATCAGACATTCTTGGGGTGGAGCCCATCTATCGGTTTTAACAAGCCCTGCAAGGGATTAGACTAATGATTTCTTGATTTGGACTGTGTAATGAAAGGGGCAAAGGAGTTGGGAGTCAGAGGGCTCTTATAGGTGTGATTCCTAGTTTTCTCCCCAAAAAAGTGGGGTTGATGATAAACATCTTTCTCACTAGAACATTGAGAGAAATAGACCAAGAGTTTGTGTATTAAACACAGGGAGAGAATGTCATTTGATGGAAGTTGCAATTGGCGGTAGCTGTCTTATAAGCAAATTTTGGATGTAAAATGCTGCAATTATGTGACTTAGTTTAGTTGAAATGTAACAGCAGACTTTTCTGAGTTGTAGAAATGCCCTCAGTTTGGGAAGGTTTTATACAAGCCTCAATACAGTGTTTCTTAAACTTCTTTGCTGTAGGAATCCCCTGAGGTGATGCTTTGCCTCACATCCCTGGCAACTCTTAGATAAAGCTGGTTAAATACCTTAGCTAGGTGGCAGTAAGCCCTGGTCCCACATCCGAATCCCCCAAAGAGCTTTTTAAACACTAGTGACTGATCAGCCACCCCTCCGCATCTCTGAGATACTGATTAATTGATCTGGGGTGTAGCCCAGGCAAGCACAGGTGTGTGTGAGTTTGTTTTTGTTTTTTGGAGACAGGGTCTTGCTCTGTCGCCCAGGCTGGAGAGTGCACTGGTATTATCTTGGCTCACTAAAGCCTCACCTTCCCTGCCTCAAGCAGTCCTCCCACCGCAGTCTCCCGAGTAGCTGGGACTACAGGTGTGTGCCACCATGACCGGTTAATTTTTTTTTTTAATTTTTTTGTGGAGATTAGGTCTTATGTTGCTCAGGCTGGTCTCGAATTCCTGGGCTCAAGCAATCCTCCCGCCTCAGCCTCCCAAAGTGCTGGGATAATGGGTGTGAGCCACTGTGCCTGGCCTGGCATCATGTTTTTTAAGCACACGCAGGTGATTCTAGTAGCCAGGGTTGGGAACCACTGATCCCAATGTTTGAGACGCCCAAAGGAAACTACACAAAGGACTAGGTGCCAAATGCTTTAACATTCATTCTCTGAGGGTTTTGAAGATTATGGCTTTAACACTCCATTTTACAAGTTAGAAAACTGAGACTTGGGTTAAATTGCTTGAATTTCACGAAGGAAATGGTGGAACTGGATTGCAATCCAGGTTTGCCGAGACTATCCCGTTTTCCTTAACACACACACAGGCACACAAGACTTCTACAGAGAAGCATATAGAAAACGTGGGGTCAGGGATTTGGTGCGTTTTTTCCTACTGTACTTGCCTGAGCCTCCTTTTCAGTCGATGATTTTCCCCCTTCAGCTGATTTTTGTATTTTCATGCATGCATACAGTTGCTTCCTCCCTGTGGCTCTGAAGCTGTGAAGTGGGGGCTGGCTTTGGTTTATGGTGTTTTGGTTTGTTTTTAATGTGTCAGGTCAGGAATTCACTGGGCCAAGACCGTGGAGTTAATGGTAGCTTAAATAAGGGGTACAGTGCTTTTTAGAATAGTGGGCTCTAATCTTGGTGGGCTTTAAAATCTCCTGAGGGAGTTTTAAAAATTCTGTTGCCTAGTCCACATCCCGGACCAATTACATCAGAATTTTCATGGTAGGACCTAGGTGTCAGGAGTTTTGAGCTCCCAGCTGATTTCGATTGTCACCAACTGGAGAGCCACTGTTTAGAATCAGCAACATTATATTCAGGGGAGATGGAGAGAAGAGAGACTGACCATTTAACTGGAATAAACTTCTGATTGAATCAGATCCGTAGCCAGTATCTCAAGTATTCATTGCCTCTCTGTTTCATGTAACCAATTTTGCTGTCTCCTGCTTCACCTCCCCAGCTTCATTGGTAATGAAATCAAACCTTTGAAACAAGTCAAAAAGCAGGATCCTGGCCAGGCACGGTGGTTCATGCCTGTAATCTCAGCACTTTGGGAGGCCGAGGCAGATGGATCACTTGAGGTCGGGAGTTCGAGACCAGCCTGACCAATGTGGAGAAATCCCGTCTGTACTAAAAATACAAAATTAGCCAGTCGCGGTGGCTCACACCTGTAATCCGAGCACTTTGGGATGCCGAGGCAGAAGGATCACCTGAGGTCAGGAGTTTGAGACCAGCCTGACCAACATGGTGAAACCCCATCTCTACTAACAATATAAAATTAGCCAGGTGTGGTGGTGCATGCCTGTAATCCCAGCTACTCGGGAGGGTGAGGCAGGAGAATTGCTTGAACCTGGGAGGCAGACGTTGCGGTGAGCTGAGATCGTGCCGTTGTACTGTAGCCTGGGCAATAAGAGCAAAACTCAGTCTCAAAAAAAAAAAAAAAAGCAGGATTCCAGTAGCAACAGTGGGGAGAGTCCTCCCTAGAGAGGTTTGCTATGGTGGGGGTCTCTGGTCCACTGCCTCGTGTCCTAAGTTCACTGTAACTTGGGCTCAAGGACACGAATGCTGCCAAAACTTTTCCCCCAAGGGCCTTGCCTACTATTAGGTTGACTGACCTTTGGAGAGGGTGAGCTCTGAAAAGGTTTAGAGCTTTTGTTGCCTAATCTGTAGTCTCATTCTAGATCAGGATGGCTCCTGCCTTTATCTCTTAGTCATGCCGTCTGCCATTAGAGCTGGAAACAGTTTCCAAAGAGAAGATAGTTTGAGACTTCGGGAGCATTCTCAAATCATCATAATTTGAGTGTTTGGAGTGTTTACTCAGAGCTAGGGAGCCCTGTGAGGGAGGTGAGGCTTTTGGCCCTGGACACAGCTACTAAGTGGTAGGGCTGGGGCCTTATGCACAGGTCTAACTCCAAACCCTTAGCCACACTTTACCTCGCGACTATTTTCAGGGCTTTTTGTACTTTTTAAAGAAGGGAGGTGAGGCTGGCCTTTCTCAGCTTATGTATCATAGCTCTCAATCTACTAGGTGTGATGGTCTCTGGGCCAGCCACCACTTGCCCATGTCCTTCACTGGCCCCGTCACTGACTCAACTCCAGCTTGAGAGTGACTGACCCTGATGGGGCTGTGGCATCCAAATCCACAAAATGGAAATAACTATAGCTGTCTTCCAGCATTGTTTGAATTTGTAAAAGGCATGTGGTAGAAATGCAGTGGTCAAGGGACACCGAGGGGCTTTCTGGAGGCATGGAAATGTTCCAAGACAGCTTGATTGGAGTGGGGGCTACACAGGTGCAAGTATTGACCAAAACACATCAAACTGTACACTTAAAGTATACTTCATTATGTGCAAATTATCTTTAAAAAGGTATTGGAAAGCCAAAAAAGGTACAGTCATGCGCACATAATGACAGTTTGGTTAGTGACAGACTGCGTATATAACAGTCCCTTAAGATTATAATGGAACTGAAAAATTCCTGTAGCCCAGTGATAGTGTAGCTGTCATTTCAGTGGTAGCACAACATATTACGTGTTCGTGGTGATGCTGGTGTAAACAGAACTACTTTGCTGCCAGTTGTATAAGTCTAGCACACACAATTATGTACAGTACATAATAGTCGATAATAGTAATGAACTTGATAGATATATCACTGGTTAATGTATTTACTATTAATGGTTATTTTAGAATATACTCCTACCTGCCTTTTTTTTTTTAAGTGAAAACTGTAAAACAGCCTCAGGCAGGTGCTTCTGGAGGTATCCCAGAAGAAGGGATTCTTACGGGAGATGACAGTTCCATGCGTGTTACTGTCCCTGAAGACCTTCTAGTGGGACAGGATGTGGAGGACAGTGATACTGATAATCCTGACCCTGTGTAGGCTAGGCTAATGTGTGTGTATTTTGTAGTTTTGGATAAAAAAGTTTAAAAAGTAAAAAAAGAGAAAAAAGCTTATAGAATAAGGATATAAAGAAAGAAAATATTTTTGTACAGCTGTGCAATATGTGTTTTAAGCTATGTTATTACAAAAGGGTCCAAAAGTTAAAAAAAAATTAAAAAGTTTTTAAAGTAAAAAGTTACAGTAAGCAAAGGTTAATTTATTATGGAAAGAAAAAATATTTTAAATAAATGTAGTGTGGCCTCCCTGTGCAGTGTTGATAAAGCTACAGTAGTGTACAGTAATGTCCTAGACCTTCACATTTACTCACCACTCGCTCACCCAGAGCAATTTCCAGGCCTACACACTCCATTCATGGTAAGTGTCCTATACAAGTATGCCATTAGAAAAAAATCCTTCATATCACATATTTACTGTGCTTTGACTTTACATGAAGTATACTTTATGTACTTTTTTGTCTGTTTCATGATAGGCACCTTCCAAAATGCTAGATCGTTTCCCATAACAAGCATTTATTATATAAAATTAGATCTGAAAGGGGTGCTTAAAAAGTATTTGCATTTTGGGGCAAATTTCCTCAACACACACCCTCACCCATGACCGTAAGCCTTTTCTCCCCCCCTTCGAGGTCTTCACAGTTTTTGGAAACTTTTATTTCCATAAGCTACTCCTGTCATCCCATGGACAAAGGATTTTTCTGAGGGAGGTGGCTGGTCATAACTGTTAGTGTGAGGTCTCTGGGGACTGATTTCAGAGGACAGCTAGAAAGGAGGGGTAACTGCTTCTTCTGGACCTCTTTTGTGTTTGGCATCGGGCAGCAAAGACCCCAGGTGAGCTAAGCCTGAGCTTTTGAAAACATATTTTCTTGTGACTTTTCTTGATGAAAAAGGAACTGTTTCTTGAGAAAACATTTCTTTCCAGGAGGCCGTTCTTTCTCTGTTTCACTCTGCAGGGCCCTGACATGGCAGGTGATATCCAGGCCACTGTTGGGTGCCATGGAGTTGGGGAGAGTTGGCCAGAAGAGTTGGATAACCTTGAATTGAATATTGTCCATGACTGTCGCGTTGCTTCTGCTGTTGCAAGCTGCCTCCCTTTACTCCCAGTCCCATTTACAAAAATAACGTTTGTGTTTTACCAGTTATAGTTGTAGTACCCATTCATTATAGAAAATCTGGAAAAGCTAGACAATTCTTTTTCAGTTTCAGGGAATAGTTCAAACAAGTTATGTGCTGTCAGTGCCCTGCAGCCAAAAAGCACGAGGAGCATACCTGTAGTCAAGCAAAGTTGGGTTTATTTCCTTGTTGCATTGGGGTGGGGAAGAACTGTGGGACATCTCAGAGAAGGGCTGTGGGCTTGTGTTGGGTGATTTGAGAGACAGTTCAGAGAAGTGGGGCTTTGCTCTGTGTTGGATGCTGCTGGGAAGCAGGGCTAATTCTGTGATTGGGTCTCAGTGATTCCTGACTTGAAAGCAGGAAGAATGGAAGGAGGCTAAACCTCTCATTGGTAAAGCAGCAGCTATAACTCCTATTAGCCAGGATAGGGGATCTTTGGTCATTTTTGTATTTTGGATAATGTTTATGTTTTTGTCTGTGTCCGGACATGATGACTGAATGGTCCTGTTTTTGTCTTGTCGCAAGGGCACAGAGTGGCCTTGTCTGAGGGTGATGTGCTGTGAAAAACTGTTGATGTTCAATGGGAATGGTAGGGCCAGCCGTGGGGGCTACCCCAGATTCAGCAAAGATTCTGCCCACCCTTGCACATCTCCACCTCTACAGTTTTACCTGTTCATTTCAGACATGTTTGCTCTGAGTACACATGTGCCGGATACCAATCTCACTTTCCAGGCCTGCGTAAATCAGCCACTGTATCCATTTCTTTGAGATGTACAGAGAGTCAGCCATGCTATCAGGGAGATGGTAGTGGGATCTTGCTCTTTTGGGCAGCACTAGTCTAGGAGGTCTAATTTTGCAATAACTTGGTTCCAAAAGTTTCCATGTCTGTTGTTTAGTCCTCAGAAACACCTTCTCCCTACAGGAAGTGATAGGAGTGCCAGCTGGAATCCCATTCAACTTCATAAAGCTTATTTCATCTGTGATGCAGCTGAAAAATGACACTTAGCTAGCTATTGAGTGGTACATGGCAATAAGGAAATGTAAAGAGACCTGGGCAGTGCTTTAGGCTGTTTTAGGGTGCAGCCAGGGTGTTCATGTATACAGGTGCTAGGCAGAAAGGAAGTGCTTATAACACAAGAGTTAGGGGCACCCTTGTGCCTGCAGGGTCGACAGGCAGGGTCAGTGTATGAGGCTTTTTGGGTGGGTTTTGGGACAAACTAGGGGATGCATGGCCCTCTCTAGGGGTCATCCAATACCCCAGCTCTGACCAGTTGTTCCCCTGCTAGCCCAGTTGGCCTCTGATTTTAGGAGAAGCCAGAAGTCCAGATTTTTCTGTGAGCTCTCCTTAGTTGTCCACATTGGAAGCAAACTTTTAAATGCTGTGTATGCGTGGCCCAAGCAAAACACATCTGGAGGCCAGATTGAATCCACAGGCTGAAAGCAGTCAACCAGGCCTGATGTCATGACCCTGTATCCTCTCCACTGGCAGGAAGAGATGTCAGGAGAAAGTGTGGTGAGCTCAGCGGTGCCAGCGGCTGCTACCCGCACCACTTCCTTCAAGGGCACGAGCCCCAGCTCCAAATACGTGAAGCTGAATGTGGGTGGAGCCCTCTACTATACCACCATGCAGACGCTGACCAAGCAGGACACCATGCTGAAGGCCATGTTCAGCGGGCGCATGGAAGTGCTCACCGACAGTGAAGGTAAGCTCACCCACCATGTGCCTGCCTCTGGCCATGCGTTATGTGGTCAAGGAGGGCTTCCCTGAAGAAGTGACATTTAAGTCGAGACCTGAAGATGTGTAGGAGGCAGCTTGTTGGGGACTCCCACCATCTTGACTTGGTCGTTGATTTGCTATGTTACTTTGAGAAAGTCACTTCCTCACCCAGGGCTTAGCTTGCTTATCTCTGCCATGCTTCTGTGACTTCAGAGTGAAACTCAAGCCTGGGGGAGAGAGAGGTATCTTCCCTGGACCCTTGTCCTCCCAAGATGGGGTCTTGACAAAGACTTGCCAACCTGGGTTTCAGTCTCAGCTCCCCATTAGTATCTGGTGATCCTAACCAAGTGGCCGAAGCTTTTGGTCTCATTTTCTTCCTCTGGTGAAATGGGCATGACAATACCCTCCCCCGTGGGGCCATCGGCACATAGTCAGTATTCAGTGCATGTGTGTATATGTGTGTGTGTAGATAGATAGATAGATATACACACACACACACACGTTTTTCTTTTTCTTGTGGAAAGTCATGTTATTAAAAGGCAAAGAATCGGCTGGGCACAGTGGCTCATGCATGTAATCCCAGCACTTTGGGAAGCTGAGGCGGGCGGATCACGAGGTCAGGAGATCGAGACCATCCTGGCTAACAAGGTGAAACCCCATCTCTACTAAAAATACAAAAAATTAGCCGGGCGTGGTGGTGGGTGCCTGTAGTCCCAGCTACTCGGGAGGCTGAGGCAGGAGAATGACGTGAACTCGGGAGGCGGAGCTTGCAGTGAGCTGAGATCGCGCCACTGCACTCCAGCCTGGGCGACAGAGCGAGACTCCGTCTCAAAAAAAAAAAAAAAAAGGCAAAGAATTGTTGAGAGGGGCATTGTCATAACTACTTCCTACTCACCTGGAATGATCAAAGAGCCCCTGACAACAGGGCTCCATCCTTACCTGGCTGGGTTTGCGTGCAGGTCACATGAGGTTTAAAAATAGTACCATCCTTCATTCCTTGGCCTGAGATTGCTTAAGACCAGGCCAGGGCACAGCCTGGCTTGACCTTGACCCCGCCTTCCTGTTTCTGAGACTGGTCTTCTGTGCTGCTGCCCTACCTTTCCAGGGACATTGACTTGGGAGGGTGGGTGAGTTTTCACATAAGCGGGTGGGATTGGGGGACCTAAGCCTGGTGTCCCACAGTTAATTCTCTGATCCTAAGAGGGCTGAGGCTTGGGCTACCCACTGGTGAGGACATTCCTCTCTGTGTCCTGGGGAAGGCCAGGGTGTGGGGCTGGAGGTTCTGCTTCCTGTGAACTCCGGTTTCTGTTCAGGCAGCAGCGAACTGAGGTTGGAGCCCCAAAGCTGCCATCTCACACTTAGCTTTTTATGAGTGGGAGGATCCTCTTTGCTGTGCCACACCCCACATGGCCCGAGAGTATCTGTGGAAATCAAGACAATAGCACCCCCGCTGCTGGAGGAAGCAGGCATTATCTGAGAACCAGGATTGTTGTGGTTTTTCTCATACCCTACCCACTCTCTGGAGGGGCTCAGGAAAGGCTGCTGAGTTGCCTCGAAAGCTGAGGCTCTTCTCCTCGAAAGGCCTCGCCTTGGTGGCCTGATGCCATATCAAAAAAGAAACGGACTCCTCTGTCCCCCTGTCCCCGACTGGACAGAGCATACGAGTGGTACTGGCAGGACTGCTCACCTTCTAAATCCCTGCTATGAGATGTTTTTCTCCTGGTGCTGCCTGGAAAACACAGGTTCTCGGGGGACACAGTGTCATTTTGACACTGCAAACTGTGACTTGTTTCATGTCACCGGAGCTCAGCCCCTGCTTCATATCATTATGAAAAGCTAATGGTATGGCATTTTATGGGGCATTCTTTTCTCTTTTTTTGAGACAGGGTCTTTCTCTGTCACCCAGGCTGAAGTGCACTAGGGCCATCATAGCTCACGGCAGCCTCCATCTCCTGGGTTCAAGCAATCCTCCCGCCTCAGCCTTCTGTGTAGCTGGGAATACAGGCATGCACCACCAAACACAGCTAATTTTTAGAATTTTTTTCTGGAGATGGGGCCTCACTATGTTGCCCAGGCTGGCCTCGAACTCCTGGGCTCAAGCCATCCTCTCACCTCAGCCTCCCAAAATGCTGGGATTACAGGCGTGAGCCACCACGCACAGCCGATGGGTATTGTTTCATTTAATCCTCACCATAACCCTTCGAGGGGTGGATACTGTTGTTGCCATTCCAAGTGAGGAGTCCCCATTTCAGAGGTGAAATGCTTTTTCAAAAGCTGATGGGACTAGAAAAGGTGAAGCTGCTGAACCCAGGACTTGCTGCCTCTTACTGTCTGCTGTCCATGGCTAGTTGTGGGCCTGGTCCAAGGCCAGATCATTTGAGTGTGGCATCCTTATGGTTTAACTGCTGTCTTTGTGCTAAAGCCCTCTGGTGGGGGCCCTCGTGAAGGCCTGGGCTGGTAGGCTGGGTATCTGGCCTTCCAGCTGTTGTCTGTGTCTGGCAGAGCGATCCTGTCGGTCCTTGGAGAGAGCACTGCATAGCCTGACCCATGGCCTGCATGTTGCCTCAAATGCACCCTTGGGTCTACAAACTGGGATAGACTCCCTGCATCCTGCAGCTCTACCCTGGCCTACAGGCTGGAAGCCTGTCAGCTGCAATGAAGTTTGCTACAAATAGGCAGAAATGCCAAGTGCAGCTCAGCCAGGCAGTGAATCCAGCAGTACAGCTTGCTGGTTAAAGGACAGGGGCTTTGAAGGTCCTGAACAGGGGATGTGTCATGTTGCCCAAGAAAGTGATTGCTTCAGGAGAGGGGACCTGGCATCCAGCATGGGGGGAATAGTCTCCTTTTTGCTCTGGGCCCTTCTACCTGATTGAGTTTTGTACTGTGTGCAAGTAACTCCTAAACCAAGAAGAACTTGGATGTTGATGTTAGCCAGGCCTGGGTTCAACACCTGGCTCTGCTGCATGTCACAGTCACAGCCGACATTTGTGGAGCTCTGTCTACATGTTGTGCTAATTTTGGCCTATTTGCCATTTACTGGTCATGTGACATTGGACAAGTGGCTTTTTCTCTGAACCTCTTTCCTCCTTCCCCAGTTATGAATGATAATGTTTTGCAGAGTTGGGGATTGAGTGAGGACATGAGAAAGCGCTTGCCACAGGGCCTGAGATGTTGGGAGAACTCAGTAAATGGGAACTGTCAATTATGGCTTTTGTTCTGAGTGTAAATGTTGGGGGGATGAGTGTTGCTGAGGGGCTACAGAGAAGCAGGTCTTAGCAGCATGTCGGGAGAGGCTGCCTGCCTTGGCCTTCAGGGATGAGTGTGCTGCAGTTCCACACTACCCCCAAGGGATGGCTTTTCTGAGAAGACAAGGACACTGTGGCAGTGAGCATGCCCTTTCCAGACTCTTCCCGGAAAGGTTCAGTTCCCACAATGCTAGAATTTTCACCTGACTCCTTGTCAGCATTGCCATTGGTCCACGGATGTAGGTAGCACCTTTCACAATGCATTCTGTTCAGCATTTGCCTGTAGTGGTCTGTTTCATCCCTGTTGCTTCGTACAATACTTCCCCCTATTGTAGGTTTTCTGATGTCTTGCTAATGTATTTTGGAATTAGTGCGTACACTAGATTGAAGAGTCATTCATTTTGTGATCGCACATTCCCCTAGAAAACTGGGAAGTCCAGTCTGATCCATGGGAAAACTGCAGTTCCTGGGGGTTTCCCTGAGATCTCCAGCCCTTCTGCCTTCCATGACAATGCTCTTTGGTAAAATTCTGAAGTACCTGAGAGCTTTTAAATTGTGAATAATACAACAAACTCACCTGTGCCACCAGGCTCAGCCCAGGCATAAAGTATGACCTGTACCTGTGGGGCCCCTTTGTGCCTTCTCTGTTTGTCCCTCTCCCTTCCAAAGGTAAGCATTTGGGGTCACCAGGTGGATCTCAAGCTTGGCTACAGAGGGAGTCACCTGAGGAGGTCAGTACTGGTGCCTGGGTCCCAGCCAGGGTGTGGCCCAGGCAGTAGGACTTTGAAGAGCTCTCTGGGTGATTCTAGTGTGCAACCAGCATTGAGAACCACAAGTGTCCATCTTTCCAGGTATTACTCTTACTATAGCTGTGCATGTCCCTAAACAAGGCGCTGTTGGTGTGTTTTTAAACGTGATGTAAATGGTGCTGTACAGTTTGTATGTTTTGCTTTTGCTTACGTAGCATTATGCTTGTGAGATCAATCCACAACTAAATAGCTCTCGTTCAGACATTTTCCGGTGGTAGAGTGTCCATTCTAGAAGCATACAGCCGCTGCCGGAGCCATATTCTGTTGATGATCATGTAGAGGGTTTGCGGTGTTCACTGTGACGAATGTGAACATCCTTGAACGCTTTCCCCGTGCGTGGGAGTTTCTCTGTGCGATGCTGCCCAGCCTTTGCCACATCATGGGGCACGTAGACAATCATATTTTCACTTTGGCAAATGAGGGGGCTCTGGACTCCCTAGATCCCACCCAGCCATCTCAAGGGCTATGGCTTTAAGATCTTACCCACTGTTGGGAGCTCAGCCCTAGAGTTTATTCCCAGGAGGGGAATTGGGACAGCATCTTCTACTTCCTTAGATATTGCAGGAGTCCCTTCTGGAGTGGTTATGGCAACTTCTACTCCCTGCAGAAGTCTGGATTTTTGCCAACCCTTGGCACTGTCCAACCTTTTAATTATTGCAAATCTGGTGAGTATGATATGGTACCTTGTTTTATTCAGTATTTCCTAATGTCTGGTACGTTGAGCATGTTTTTATGTGTATTGCTCTTTTGAGTTTAATCTTTTAACTGCTTGATTGCATCTTACTTACACATTTGCCTTTTTCTTATTACTTTGCAAAAGTTCATATACTGGATCCTGTTTCTTTGGGGTCCAGTGCTGCAAATATCTTCTCCCAGTCTGACTTGTCTGAGCTTTTTTAATGGGGCTTTTGGAAACCTCAGAGTTTAAATCGCTTTTTTACACTTACATCCTTGATCTACCTCAGTGATGCCCAAACCAATGGGTGATTTTTTGGGATATTTAGCAATGTCCAGAGACATTTTTGTTGTTTCTTGGGGATGATGGTGCTCCTGGCGTCAAGTGAGTAGAGGCCAGGGATGCAACTAAATACCCTACAATGTGCGGGGCAGCCTCTTACAACTAAGAATTATCTGGTCCAAAATGTCAAAGTGCTCAGGTTGGAGACCCTGCCCTAGGGATTCTGATCAGGAATGAGGCAGGTTGCTAGAATCTGAATTTTTCACAAGTACCTTGGGTGGCATTTATGATCAGGGGTGTTTGGGAACCACAAAAATATAGAGTATAAATACCTTAGGATGGCAAAGAGAGGTCAGTGAAGGTTCCCTGGAGGTGGTGGGAGAGGGGAAAGGAGAGGTCAGACATCCAGGGAGAGAGGAAGCACATGGTATGCTCACGGGGCGGGGAGGAGGGGAGCCTAGTGGCCCAATCCTCCTGACCCCCAGAGCAGCCTTCTCCTCCCTTGGGTCCCTGAAAGCAACACCAACTCCATCCTGGGGGCTGGAACTTGCTGCCTCTGGACGCTGCTGCTCTGCTTCCAGCAATAATGATGAAAGATGAGATTGTTAAAGACCCATAGCTGCTTTTGAGTGCTGTTGGTAGACCCAGCATTGTGCTGTGTGCCTTCTGTACGTTCTTTCATCATATTTTTATGTCAACCCTGTGAGATCGTTTGTAGAAGAGAAAACTGCTAGACAGAGGTTAATTGAAGCACCAATGTCATCCAGCAAGAAGGTATCAGAGCTGGGTTTCCAACACTTAACTGCTGTGCTGTGCTGAGGACGTCCTGGAGCCCAAGTCCAGTGCTGCCCAGTGTGGTCCCGGTCAGTTCTGCTCTCCAGCCTTGCCTAATGGGTCTGGGATCCCAGGCTGCCCTGACTTTGGACAGCCTTCCTAAATAGCTCTCGTGCCCCGTGGCAGCAGGAGAGAGACCCCCCACATGCGAGGAGCTGCTTGACTTCCATTTGTCTTTCTACGTGCTAGGCATTTGAGCTGACTTTCAAAGGGATCACTTCCTGCTTTGAAAGCAACCACAGTATCTTAAAGTCAAAACGCTGATTGAAACCTCCTGGAGAGTGTGCCTGGCTCCCTTGCCCTTATTTGTCCAAAGTATGATTCTTTCGCCACAAGCATTTCCTGACGGCATTCTTGAGCCGGAGCCCAGTGTCACGGTCTGCCTGTTCATTTATGGGAACTCTGGGCTGTCATTTGGATAATTGATTTCAGGGCCCTGGGTCTTCCCAAGCAGCTGAGTTCTGCAGACATCAAAGGCAGAACGTGGAAGGTTCCTTCCCTGCGCAGCTGAGTTGAATTCTATTTATCTTTTCAATTCTGGTGAAAGGAGTTTTCCTATGAGTGCCTTACTTTTTCTTTGTGGTCTAGTCCTGCTGCCTCTGCTTGGGAATGGCACTGCACCTCTCTGAGCCTCTGTTTTATTTGTGGAAAATGCAAGGGAATGAGCTCCCCTCAAAAAAGAACTGGTAGAAAGATAATACGGTCTTTCCCTGCCTTGTCAGCCTTCTGAGAAAAAATTACTTGGTGTAGGGTAGCACAGAGGCCTCAAGCTGGTAGCCTGCAGGCCCAGTTCAACTGCAGATGTGTTTTGTTTGCCTTGTGGTGGGTTGATGACAGTTTTGTTTTGTTTTAATTAGTTTACCGTCCTTTAAAAATCAGGGAATTCACAGAAAAATCTGGGTTTCTGGCATTGCATGGAACATCAGAGCTCACAGCTCTTGGGCCCACATTCCTGCCTGGCCACTCTTGGCTGGAGTGGGAAGAGCCTGCCTCTCTTGGGGGCAGGGCAGATGCTGTCCTGTCAGCCCCAGCCTCAGCCCCGCCCAGCTGCACTCATTTATTGTGCTTACTGGCCCTGGAGGCATCTGGGTTGCATAAGATATTAATTCCATATTTTGTTTTCTCAGATGTAGAAAGAAGTGGGGTGGGATCACATTTGCAGGTCACTGTCAGGGTGATGTGATTTACCATGCCTGGGAAGGCCTCTTTCTTCCCTGAAACCAGGAGTTGACTCAGGGCTATACATTTGTATTGCATTTCCCCCCACTTGGGGTATTCTTCCCACCTACTCAGGAAATTGGAACAGTGCGGAAGTAGGAAGTGGAAGCCGCTGGAGGGTGGAGACCGTTCTTTTAACAAAAGGCCCAGGAACTTTAGGCTGAGCTGTTTCATCAGGGGAACCTGGAAACGGCCCTGTTATCAAACTTTCCTGGCAATTCATGCAAAGAATACCAAACTATGCCCTAAAACCATGAGAGGGCACTTGGCAGGGACTGGACCTGCCAGGTAAGGGGTAGGGGAAAGCGGGCAGACTTAAGACTCTGGATTGTGAAAAAGATGCGTTTGCTGCTCTCAACTTTTGCTGGCCTCTGCCACTGATCCAAGGCCCAGGATCAGTAGGGCCCAGTCTGAGGAGGACGTGGAACAGGGCACAGCATTGTTAGGAGTGGAACAGGGCACAGCGTTGTTAGGAGTGGAAATGTTGGCCCTTCTCCCAAAGTGGGGAGGAAGGTGGTAGCATAAAGTGACCGATTCCTACTGAAGCCTTCTCACGGCCCTGCGCACTGGCATTTTCCACCTGTAATGCGTGGCAGGAGCCGTGGGGACGCCCCTTGCCTGAGGTCACCCTGCTTGTCAGAAGGCCTCGACTTCACCCTCTCATCTGTCTGGCTTCTTTTTAGAGCTTCACATTTGCTGTTGGGAGATACTTGGACTTTGCTCCATTCCTGCCTTCCTTTTTGGTACCTCCTCCTCCTAGGCTCCAGTCCTGTCTTCTACAAATACCACTCCCAGAGACACTGCATTTCAGTAGAGGAGTTCTGAAAACCCTCAGGATCTCTGGTGGAGGAATGTCAGCTCAGTGACAAGATTAGAAAGGACATTGAGCAGCAGAGTAGGGAGTCTTCCTGGCCCCCACCCCCAAGAATGTTTCACAGTGCCTGGATTTGGTCAGCTTTGGGACCTTTTTCCATATCCAATAAAAGCTGATTCTGTCTCCCCATGTTTACCGAGCTGCCTGAGGGTGGGGTCTGTCTTGGTCATTCACTAGCCACTAAGTGCTTGTTGCAGGAAGTTGTGGGATAGGACTTCCTGTGTTGGTGCTGGTCAGTGTCTAGGGCTCAGCCTTGGGAGTCAGAGGTCACAGTCTGCGAGGGTGAGACTTGTGCGTTCTTAGAAATGGCTCTGTTAATGTGACAGTTTGAAGGAAGCTTTGTGGAAAGAGGAAGTAGATATTTTTTACCCAGAAGGCTTTCTTCTATCCTTGGTATGTGGCCATTTGGGCCTGTTTTACCCAGGTGTGGTACACGAGGCCCCTGTTGGATGTCCTTGTGTAAGGGATATTTGAGGGTACTTCAGAAGTGTACTTTTGGGCCTCAAGAGTCGGGATGTCTAACAGAGCCTCAGACCAGGGTCACCTGGGGTTATGGTTGTGTCCAGCCAGTAGGGCCTGGAGGCTGTGGGGGCTTCCTCAGCCCTTAGTGGGCAGGTAGGCAGGTGAGGCTGCCATTCTCCAGGCAGTCCCGCTCTCCGCTGGGAGGTAGAGGGAGCCGAGAGACACCCCAGCTCTGCTCAGGGCCTCCCACAAGAGGAGGGCCCATGTAACCAGCCCCTGCCTCCTCCCTCTGCAGGCTGGATCCTCATTGACCGCTGTGGGAAGCACTTTGGTACGATACTCAACTACCTTCGAGACGGGGCGGTGCCTTTACCCGAGAGCCGCCGGGAGATCGAGGAGCTGCTAGCAGAAGCCAAGTACTACCTAGTCCAAGGCCTGGTGGAAGAGTGCCAGGCGGCCCTACAAGTAGGCATCACCCTTTCTTCCCATATGGGTGGAGAGGCACCAAGCCTACCTGCCTTCCTCATTTTCCCTCTCTGCAAAATGGGGGCAGTTTCTGTCTGACTGAGATGTTGTGAGAGTTAATGAGTTTGCCCTGGAGCCCGATTCCTTCGGTTGGAGTGACCCCTGAGAGGCCTCCCTGGAACAGCAGGCCACCTAACTACTGTGTCACTCCTTGCAGCCCCATGCTGTTGGATCTTCTCATGTGTACATCTCAACCCTTCAGCAGAGAACCCCGCGGTGTGAAACTTGGTCGGTGTTCGGGACCAATCTTAGGGCTTACTCTAGTCCCACAAGTCATTGTTGGGAGCTCAGCATAATCTCTACAGACAGACACCCCTCACTCCTTAGCTAGACAGAGCAGGACCACTGGAGTCAGGTCTGGTGACAGTAAAATCCCACAAAAACAAAATGCTTCTAGACATGGCCAACACCCCTTTATTTCAAACAAAGTTGCAACGTGGCAGAGCATCAGAAGCATCCCTTTGGGTTTTCGTAGGAATCTGGTCTGTGTGCATGAGGCCCTTGTTTGGGCCTCCCCCACACCACATGTCTGTGTCTGGCCCCGCACCGGACCAGTACCCATAATGCTGCACACCACCTCTACTCTGAGAGTCTGAACTCACTGCAGACCTAACTGAATGTTGCAGCATTTACTTTTTTATTATTACTACACTGTTGAAAGTGATGCACATGCATCCTTCAAGAAGTCAAATAGTGCTGCAAGGTTAACATCAAAACACCACCATACCCCTCCTACTCTCCTTCACCCTTGCAGTAACCTCTGTGAATTCTTTCAGCAGTTTTTTCTGTTCACATTTATGTTTCCACATAATTCGCCTGTGCTGCTCTTTATTGAATTCCCAGTTTTTGACATTATCTACTGGCATGACTATAGAAACTAGAATTTAGCTCACGCACTGCCCCTACCTCTACCCCCACCAAGCTTAGGCATACTTTTCCTTCTCCCATTCTCCCAGTACAGTTCATCACAGTTTTGGTTAAATTCAGAGTTTACGTCATGACGTGTAAATACGGCTGACAGTTAAGCCACAGAGTGTACAGTGATTATTTTCTTTCTTCTATAACTTTAAGTTTGCCAGAGTTAGGGATTGCCTCATTGTTTTGTTCACTTGGTTTTCTAAATATATGTTCCTACTTCAGCCCCACGTTCTCAGCGGTCTCATAGTGGTGTGTTCAGACACATCAGAGGTTCTGTTTCATCTTTGTCTTGGAGACATGCCCCTGGGTCTCGTTTCTGTTAGTCTAAGGTTAGACCTCCAGGACTGACCTCCTAATTCTTTCCTCTTAGTGTCTCTGGCTTTATCCTTTTGTTCTACTTTCTCAGAAGTTTTATTTTTCACCTTTTCAACCCTTCTATCAAAATTTTCATTTCTGCTTCGTCTTTCTAACTTCAGGAGCCTTTTCTTGCTGTCCGAATGCCCTGCTTTCCACAGCGTGCTCATCTTGTTTCCTAGGAGGCCGTATCTGCTCTCAACTGTCTGATGATTCTGTTTGTTTTCTTTCTTCTCCCTTCATTATCTGACTCCTCCTCTTTTCCTGTCTTTGTTTTGGTTTTGTTCTCATGTTAAAGAGGCTTTTCACATGTAATCTGATGATGCTTGGCTGTCTGTTGAAGGAATGAGAGACTCTGAAAGCTGTTTGTGCATGGAAGGTCCTTGTTGTCCACTGGGCTGCATTGTGGGTGATAAGGCAGACTTTTTCAGCGGGACCCCCAACTGTCAGAATCTGTAAGCCATTTTGGGGGAAGCAGGTGGTGTTCCTGAAGAGGAATCCTCTACTCTCCTCCTGCCTGACGGGTCTAGGCCTGGCCGGCTGCCTTTGGGGATCTGGAAGGGGAAGGAGCTGGGGTTGCTCATCACTTAGTGTGATGTTCACTTGTCCCCCCGTTTTCAGAATCGCAGCTCAGCCCTGTCCTCTACCGTGCAAACCACTGCAGGAAGATGGCCCTTTCTTCTGCCTGCATGGGGACGGAGATGGATTTGGGGATCTTTCCAGTGCTTCCGCCCACTGGTTTCAGCTTTCCCCCTCTCCTTGGTTAACGCTCACCTGTGACCTTTCTACCCTCAAATTTTTGACTTTTTTTACTGGTCTGCTGACCTCACTTCTCCCATTCTTTTTCCCCTTATGGGTTTATGCTTTTTTTTTTAATTCCTCTGCAGTCATGGTAGTGGGGTTTTAGGAGCTTTTGATTAAAACACGTTTCTGCTGCCACGTCAAGGGTTTATTTTTGAGTGGCTTCCTGGGCTGTGGAAAATGTGTCATCATTGTTAGTACTTACTCAGCATCCTGGCCTATCATGGTCATAGCCAAAGAGCAGACTTACTGGGAAATTCAACTCCCTGTCTTCCCCCATCTAGTTCACTGGTGGTGAGAATCCTTCTCTCTTCCCAGCCATGACTGCCCCATCTCCCCTCGCCAGAGCCTGTCCAGCCGGTCAACTTTAAAAATGCAGTGCTAGGCAGGCCTCCTAGGCTGAAAGCATGTTTTGTTCCAGCAGAACAAAGATACTTATGAGCCTTTCTGCAAGGTCCCTGTGATCACCTCATCCAAGGAAGAACAAAAACTTATAGCGACTTCAAATAAGGTATGTTGGAGGCACCCTTGTGGAATTTCTTTTGCTACCAGAAATGATGGAGGTTCTTCTGAATAACTTTTGAAATAAAAACATGTATAATTGCCTGAGTGAGGCCTGATAATGGGTTCACAGTGGGAAGCTACAGGTCATCTTTTGTGCCCCTGCTATTGGGTCATGTGGTCCCCCTCTCCAGCCAGCAAGCTATGCTTGTCTGCCTCTTCTGATGCAGGGCAGGGCCCCAGCCCTATGGGAAGCTAGTAGTTCATTGCATCTGCCTGCCAAGTAACTCTCTTCTTCTTCTTTTAAAACAACCCACAGCCAGCCGTGAAGTTGCTCTACAACAGAAGTAACAACAAATACTCATATACCAGGTAAGGCGTCAGCCGGGAAAGACAGCTCCATTTACTAGGAAAACCTCCACTCACACCAGCCAGGCCCAGCTCTTCTTCGTACCTTCAGATGAGGATGACCCCTCTGTACCTCTCTGCCTGGATAGATAAGTAGACAGATGGATACAGGGGTATAACTCTGAGCTATAATTCACACATATCATAAAAGTCATCTTTCTAGAGTGTACAGTTATTATTATATTCACAATATGTGGTTTTTATATATTCACAAGTTGTGAGGCCATAACGACTATCTAATTTTAGAACTTTTTCACTGCCTGAAAAGAAACCCTCTATTCGTTAGCAGTCACTCCCCATTTTCCCTCAACCATTGCTTCCCCAACCCCACAGCCCTAGGTAACCACTAATCTGTTTTCTGTCTTGATGAATTTGCCTGTTCTGGACATTTTTATGTGAATGGAATTGCATAATATATGGCCTTTTGTGACCAGATTCCTTCATTCAGCATAATGAGATTACCTAAGAGGTTTTCAAGGTTTATCCATGTTGTAGCATGAATCAATACTTCATTCCTTTTTATGGCAGAATAATATTCCACAGTGTAGACCACATTTTCTTTACCCATTCATCAGTTGATGGACATTTGGGTTGTTTGCACTTTTTGGCTATTGTGTGTAATGCTGTTATGAACATTCATGCAAAGTCTCTATGTGGACTTACGTTTTCATTTCTCTGGGAACAGAATTGCTGGGTCATGTGGTAATTCTATGTTTAATCATTCGAGGACCTGCCAAACTGTTTTCTAAAGTGGCTGCACCATTTTACATTCCCACCAGCAATATATGCAGGTTTCTAGAATGCCATTTGGCCCTTGAAAACATGTGGCTCTAACTCAGGAACTTGAGGGATGCAGGGAGGATTTAATCAGGTTACTCAAGATCTTTAAAAAGACCTAGGATATAGAGTCTCCCTTGGGCAGTGCCATTCTGCTCCTCTTGGGGCTCGGTGAGGTGCTCTCCTCCACCTGGTGCCTGTGCCCAGAGGCTGTCACTCAAGCACAATGGTTAGGAGCACTCAGGCTTAGGGGCCAGGGCTGTCTTTTGGGGGGCGTGTCTGCCATTTATTAGGTTCAGCCTTGAGCAATTACCTAATTTCTCTGATCCTCACTTTCCTTCTTGAGTGATGGAGATTGGAGTGCCTTTGTCATGGGATTATTGTGAGGTTGAAATGAGGTAGTGGAGAAAGTGGGCTCAGTAGGGCCCTGCGTGTAGAAGGGCCCAGCAAATGATGGCAGTTTTTACCAGCTTGTGGTCACCGTATCAAATGCTCTTTTGCAGCAATTCTGACGACAATATGTTGAAAAACATTGAACTGTTTGATAAGCTGTCTCTGCGCTTTAACGGAAGGGTCCTGTTCATAAAGGATGTTATTGGGGATGAAATCTGCTGCTGGTCCTTTTATGGTCAGGGCCGGAAGATTGCTGAAGTCTGTTGTACCTCCATCGTCTATGCCACTGAGAAGAAACAGACCAAGGTAAGAGCCTCGAGAGGACAGTTTGGAGTGGCTGTTCTGAAACACACACCTATAGAACTTCCTTTCACTTGAGCCCAATACAGAGGGAAATGCTTTTAAAATGCTTTGCTTGCCTTGTGATTGCTCATCCTTAAAATATTTATCTTTTAGGCCCTGCAAGGAGCCAAATGTAGGGTTCATCTGGCATTCCTTTAGCTCCCTACCTTGCTGGCTTCCTTCCAAGCATGCTTGACTCCCTGACTGGGCTGGACTCTGGGGATGTGTTTTTATATCATCCTCTCCAAACCAGTAGGCTTGACCTATCCTTTGACTTCTCCCACCATGCCGTTCCACAAAGCTGGATTGCTCTGCATAGTGCTGCTAGAGATCTGGCCCCCCCTTAATTGAATTTGCCTGCCCTTTTGGGGCTCTGCAATTGGGTTTTCTGTCTTTTTAAACTTTTAATTCACATTATACACTCTGTCATTTCTTTAACGTGTCTAAGGGAATTCTGGCTATCCAGTGACATGCAGCAGGTCTGCTGTGGGCCGACGGTCATGCCTCTTGTCACCCTTGCACAGGAGTCTTAAGAGCCTGAGCCTGTAGGTCACTTACCCAGGTTACTATTGTCCCTGCAGCTTTTGGGGCCACAGTTCTGCATGATTCTGTAGCTGACCTCGAACAAAAAGCAAATGAGAAGAAATCATCACATCACAAAGTAGAAACCAGAGTCTTTTTTTTTTTTAACTTATTATTGAAAATTGAAGCCATACACAGAATTATAGTGTGGTGATTTCCCCTGTGCCATCACGCCACGTCAAGGGCCATCAGCTTGGGCACTCTCACTCAGTCTGTATCTACTCCTCCTCCCCAGCACTCACAGGATGAATTTGACAACATATTTTATTCCTAAGCATTCAAAATCTATCCTAAAAGAATAGATATTGTTCTTAAGGTAGCCAAGAAGTGCTAAACACTGAGGTTCTTTTTGCTTTCAAAGATCCCGGGGGCAGGGGGTGAACCAGAATCATCTGCCTCTCTCTCCACATTGGCAAGACATCATGCCCCTTTTCTCCTGTGAACTGTTTTTTTTTTTTCAGGGCTGTGAATTCTTCCTGTAATTAGACCCCCATTCTGTCATGGTTTGATTTTTTAAAAATATACCTGGGCTGCCTCTGCCCTTGGGTAGTAAGAGGAGAGTCACCATATTGATTAAGCTTTAAAAGATTAAGACTTCTCATTTTTAGAGCTTAATAAGGAACAAGGGGATTTAGAGACCACATGGTCTGATCCCAACTGTTTCTAGATTAGCAGACAGGTTCAGGAGTGGCATGTTCTTGTGTTTGTAAAGCTAGTTAGTGGCAGAGCCAGGATGGGAAGCCAAGGGCCTCTTTCTTTTCTCTTTGTTTTGAGAGAGAGTGTTGCTCTGTCACCCAGGCTTGAGTACAGTGACACAATCATAGCTCAATGCAGCCTTGAACTCCTGGGCTCAAGTGATCCTCCTGCCTCAGCCTCCTGAGTAGCTGGGTCCACAGGTGCATGCTACTACACCTGGCTCATTTTATTTATTTTTGTAGGGACTGGCTTTCACTATGTTGCCCAGGCTGGTCTCGACCTCCTGGCCTCAAGTGGTCCTTCTACCTTGGCCTCCCAAAGTGTTGGGATTACAGGCATGAGCCACTGCACCCAGCCCATATCACTCTCCTCTCCTGTCTCATCTCCACTCTGTTATTGAGCCCTGCTGGTAAGTTGTGTTTTTGTTTGAGGTTGTTGGTTATTGTATTTGTCAGTTCTCAAGTGCTCATTTGGTTTTTCTGTCTCCTTGCTGAGACTCCCTATGTTTCCATTTGCTCTAAGAGCATTGGCCCTTACTTACTGGAACAGGTTAATAATAGCTGCTGCCAGGTCTTTGTCAGGTAATTCCAAAACCTTGTGTCACCTTGGCGCTAGCATCTGTGAGTTATTTCCCACAGGAGTTGAGAATTTCTTGGTTCTTGTGTATTGAGAAATTTTGATTGTATCCTAAACATTTTGAATATTGTTAAAGGACTCCAGGCCTTGTTTAAATCCTAGGGAGAACATTGATGTTTTTGTTTTAGCAGGCAATTGACCCAGTTGGGCTCAGGCTGCAAGCTCTAACCAGCCTTCTGTAGTTTGTAGTTGCGGTGACAGTTTGATTTTCAAAGCCTTCAAATCTGTCCTAGCTGTGTGCCATGCTGTGGCCCGTCTGTCCTGGGCAGTATCTCTTGCAGCATTCAGTTCTTTCAGTCTGCGTATGCAGTTTAGGGGTAGATCTTGCAGCTGGGTGTGGGTCTAGGAGTTCATATACAACTTCACAGGCTGCTTTCTCAAGCTCCTCTTCTCCGCAGTTCTCTAAGCTTCCCTGGAGTCCCCTTCTCTGATCGGCCAGCCAGAAAGCTGGGGGTTTGGTTATTCCCCCTTTGCCACCCACTTTCTGTAACCATGCCTGTATTTTGGGCCCAGGAGCATGAAGATAGAAAAAGCAACCAGATTCTCCCAATCCTGCTGAGACCACAGCTCTTCTCATCAGAAAAGAAGGTTCCTTCCCTCAGAGTTTTGACTCCTGCAGTCTCTGGTTGCTGCCACAGGAATGCTCAGGTCTGGGTGCAAGAAAATAAAGAAAAGGACTGAGCATGGTGGCTCACACCTGTAATCCCGCACTTTGGGAGGCCAAAGCAGAAGGATTGCTTGAGTCCAGGAGTTTAAGACCAGCCTGGGCAACATAGCAACACCCCTGTCTCTACCAAAAATTTTTTAAAAAATAGCTGGGCATGGTGGTGTGTGCCTGTAGTCTAAACTACTTGGGAGGCTGAGGTGGGAGAATCATTTAAGCCCAGTAGTTCAAGACCAGCCTGGGCAACATAGCAACACACTCATCTCTACAAAAAGTTAGTTGGGCATGGTGATGCATGCCTATAGTCTCAACTACTTGGGGAGGCTGAGGTGGGAGAATCATTTGAGCCTAGGCGTTCAAGGCTGCAGTGAGCTATGATTGTGCCACTGCACTCCAGCCTGGGTGACAGAGCAACACTCCCTCTCAAAACAAAAAAGAGAAAAGAAAGAGGCCCTTGGACTCCCGTCCTGGCTCTGCCCCTAACCAGCTTCACAAACACAAGAACACGCCACTCCTGAACCTGGTCTGTGAATCAAGAAACAGTTGGGATCAGACCATGTGGTCTCTAAATCCCCTTGCTCCTTATTAAGCTCTAAAAATGAGAAGTCTTAAAATTTTAAAGCTTAATTAGCCAGATCCCATATCTTTTAAAAAAAAAGGAAAGAAAACCAGGATTTCCTCCCAGCCTCTCTGCCTGTTAGACTCTGTTGGCCTCCCTGGCCACTAGAGACCTTCTGGAGGTCTTCTGTCCTGGTGCCATTTCAGGGTTTCAGGCTGCATCAGTGCTGGCAGCAGCAAACAGTAAACTCACTGTTGGGCATTACTCCAAATTCTGTTGTTTCCCCCATCTGCCTGCCATGATTTACTTCTGAGTCCACAGTTAGCTGCTGTGTGCATCCCATTCTGGCTTTGTAGTGTCAGTGAGGAAGACGGGGTAGAGTGTGCCTGCTCCATTTTTCCCAGAACCTCCGAATTCCACCCTGAAAGTGGAGTCTAGTCTGATCAAATGTGTGGGACCTGCTTATGTGGCCCTCTTCCTGTTCATCACACCTTAACCCTGAAGGGCAATGAGCAAACACAATGATTTGCCAAACAGCAGAAGGGCTCATGCCCATTTCGTGGGAGTCCCCAGCTGGACCCTGTACAAAAAACTGCTTTAGAGACTGCTTTAAGGTGTGGAAGGACTTCTGTGCAAGGTTGCAGCTCTGTTAGGAGAAGCATATTAGCACTGACCTAAATGGCCATCCAAGTATGGTTAATTGCATTGTCGTATTTATAATTCCTTGATACAGAATGATCTCTAGGTTAAGTTAGGCACAAGAGGAAGACATGTACAACTCTGTGTGGTGGGCCACCTTGTGTGTTTTTTGAAGTGTGTGAATAAATATGTGTATTACACATATTTACATGCACAGAATCTTTGAGAGGGTAAAATGATGAGAAACTGTACCTTTAAGAAGGGAAACTAGGGGCAGGGAGACCTGTTTCTCTGCATCCCCTTGATTTTCTGTGCATTTAGCACCACATGTAAGTGTTGCCATTGAAAATATCAGTTTATTTAAAAATAATACTGGTGGCCTTCAGCAGAATCCCAGGGGCCTGATTTAGCCTGGCGGCCCTGCTTAAAGTCCAGGTGTTGGCAGAGGGGGTGGGCCATAACTTACCTGCCCTGTATACTGTGGGAACACAGGTGGAGTTTCCCGAAGCCCGGATTTATGAGGAGACCCTGAACATTTTGCTGTATGAGGCCCAGGATGGCCGGGGACCTGACAATGCGCTCCTGGAGGCCACAGGCGGGGCGGCGGGGCGCTCCCACCACCTGGACGAGGACGAGGAGCGGGAGCGGATCGAGCGCGTGCGGAGGATCCACATCAAGCGCCCTGATGACCGGGCCCACCTCCACCAGTGAGCAGGCAAGAGACCGAGCCGCCCTCCTCTCACCGCCCCCACTCCCTGCCGTGCTACACCCAGATCCTGTGCAGGCTGCCGGGCCCCTTCTGCTTCCCTTGGAGCCTGGAGATACTTTTGTAACAAGCCAGATGATTATTTTGGTATTGCTTGACAAGGCAAATTGATTGTCTTGACCCAGGCGTATGACCCCTGTCGTTGAACAAGCTGTGTCTAAGATCTCTACTTTTCATGAGAATCTGAGACTCTTTGGAGCCAGGCTTTCTCGGTTCTCAGAGGAAAAGTATGAATGAGTGTGAAGTGTATGTGAGAACTTTTGTTTGCAATATTTATTTTTGTGGGTGTCGACTTCCTATGTGGGCTTTTTGGGTGACACTCCCTTAAGGGTTCAGTTTGACAATTCTGAGAGTTGTCCTGCAGTTGGAGGCCACCAGAGGTATCTGAGCTCCCTGCTTCCTATTTCATAATCCTCCAGCCCCAGCAGGTCCACTCCTGGTTCCTGTGTGTTTGGCCCGGGCACAATCCCCACTGCTTTGCTAGACGTGCTTTCTGCCATGTGGCTTTGGGCCTAGAGCTTGTTGATAATTGCAGCTTGTGGCAGTGGAAATATGGCTGAATGAGCGTCTAAATCGTTGAGACCAGTGCAACTTTGGGTGCAAGGCTTTGTTTAGGGATCAAGCCTTTTGCCACCTTGGGCTGGTCTTTGGCCTGGTGCTCACTGGGACCCCATATGTCTGCGTAGGAGCAGAACTTTCCATGGCAGTAAGTGTCCAGCTCTGTTTCTGGTTCTTTCCCCAACTCCAGCCCCGTCCAGTTGTTCTCCTGATTGACCCGACTCCACTCCAGGAAGGCCATCTGACCCTGTGACAGGCATAGCTCATAAACTACCCCTCCCTGGGATCCCGCTCCTCTTCAGCCTCCTTCCCCATGAAGCTGGGCTAACTTTCTAAGTCATTTTGCTTAGAAATTCAGTGTGGCCCATACCCTTTGTCCTCCCAGCCTGGCATCCAGGCAGGGACACCCTCACACCACCAGCCCCAGGGAGCTTCCCTGCTATAAACACAGACCCCCTTGTCTTTGCCTCTGATTTTTACACAGTGTAGAGTGGCCAGCAGTGAACAGGTTGAGGATGTGCGGGTAGATAGATAACTTTGGGTCTGGTTTGTGTCTGTGTTCATGTTTGTTTAAGGGATATGTGTGACTGTGGGTGGGGACGTGTGCTTGTGGGGCACAGGTGGCGGCCCCTGCTGGAGCCCGGCTGGGCGCAGCGCCTATGTAGGACGGGTGTTCTCAGTGACCTACCTCCCAGGCTCCTCTGCACCTGCAAAGGAACAGGAGTGAGTCGTGACTGACAGGGGTGGTTGAGACTAGACTAGGTAGAGTAGTTACCAGGAGATGTGAATGTGCGTCAGGTGATGGATGGGTTTGTCAAGGGAATCGTTACCGTTTTATACCAAAGGTATTAACATGGGCAGCCTTTGACACATGTATTCCAAAAACGAGTTTATATTTTCAAACGGTTTTTACAGCTTAGACTTTGTACTTACTGCCCTGCCTGTGACAGTTGTATGCCTTCATTTTGTATCCAACAGCAAAGTCTACAATAAAACTTTAAAACAATCATGACTGAATGTCAAAATCGTGTATTGGGCAGATGCTTTTTAAACTGTCGTGTGAGAAACTTTTATATTAGGCCATTTGGATTTTATTAAGTGCTAAGGAAAGAGGGCTTACAAAATGTTTCGTAAATATTTTATACTGTTTAAGTGTTAAACACCAACCCTGTCTTTCTTTTGGGTTGAGCTTTTTTAGAAAGTCGAAGTGAATGTTGGCCAGGAAAATGGAAAAGCCATTGTATAAATTTTTTTTTGAGGCGGAGTCTTGCTCTATTGGCCAGGCTGGAGTGTAGTGGCACCATCTCCACTTACCACAACTTGTGCCTCCTGGGTTCAAGCGATTCTGCTGCCTCAGCCTCCCGAGTAGCTGGGATTGCAGGTACCCATCAGCCCATGCCCAGCTAATTTTGTATTTTTAGTAGAGATGGGGTTTCACCATGTTGGCCAGGCTGGTCTTGAACTCCTGACCCTGTGATCCGACCACCTTGGCCTCCCAAAGTGCTGGGATTACAGGTGTGAGTCACCACACCTGGCTGCATAGTGTTTTAAATGTTTGTGTGAAGAATGAGTTTGTGGAACAATTTGATTTGCTGTGGCCTCTATGCCTAATGAGCTAGTGTTTCTGGCAGCTCTCTCTACCCAACTTTGCACTTGTAGTTTTGAGTCTTTGTCTCTCTGGAATATGAACAGGTTTATAAAACATTCCATGGTGAACAATTCTGTCGGCTGCATTATAGCCATGAGTGAATAGACAGCATTGGCTGGTCCAAGCTCTGTTATTGAGTATACAAGGAACTGATTTTTCTTATGTTAGCACTAAGGGCAAAAACCAATATTTATAATGTAAGCACTATCCAGGTAAAACACTGGCCCAAGATTTGGTAAAGAGATTTCATTGCAATGTAATAACTACAGTTTTTTACAAATTGGAACAGCTTTGGTGTGTCGTAATCAAGGGTTTTTTTTGTTTGTTTGTTTCAAATAAGCCATCTGATTGTGGTGACTGGGGCCCATGTCCAAGACAATTCCTGGCATATTCTGTCACCCTCCCGTGGGGCGATCACTGTGTGGGGACCCCATTCCCCAGTTAAAGTGTGTCTCTGTACCTTACAACAGCGATTCAGGACCCAAGTGTGAACAACACTCAGCCCGCCCTCTGGAGCGTGTGCTGTCTTTAGGGCCCTACCCAAAGTCACTGTAACAGTTAAGTGTGTCATTAACCTTTCTGTCTCTTTGCGCCATAAAAAAATGCTCAAAGTTTTAGATGTAGCCACTGTATGTTGTACAAACGTTGGCGACATGTAAAATAAAAGTCATAAAATGCTTCTGTTTTCTGGCTCTTTTCAGGCATGCCCGGCATAACCAGGCCCCTAAAATCGGTTTACAACAAAGGCAGGGCCCCCACGTTCTGCCTCAGCCCCTTAAAGTCGCTCCAGGTGGAAGGGAAAAGACAGTCATGTTTCTGTAGTGTTTGTTTGAATTCAAACACCAAAAGGAAGTCTTGGGGTCAAAGGCTGCCTGGCTCATGAAAAAGTGAATCAGCTGGTGTTACCACTGATTTGCTATTATGGGGCAGAGGGCTTCAGTTCACCAAACCCAATCCCTTGACACATGTGAGTTCCATTTATTTAAAGCAAAATTCAAATTTCACAGCTTTAGGAAATTTCCTTTACTTAGTCTCAGACCATGCACAGTAAGTCATCGATAGGTTCTTGGAAGCTGAGACTTGAAGCAAAACCATGAGGCTAATGGATGTAAACAAGAGTTAAATTCCTACAGCATGTTGCTGGGCACAAAAACATCACCCAATTTCTAAATAAAGACCAAAGCACTTCTCATATTAAACTGTGAAATACATGAGCTACACGTATATTTAATTAAATCAAAAATAAGACCATATTACCTAAGTTTTGGTGAATCGGTAAGTGATGGTGGTCACAGTGGTGGCCGCATACATCAGTAAATAAACGCTTGCAAAGGTGAGATTATACGGAGCCCCTCCCCAGTCACAAGCGTGGCAGGCTCGCTACACGCTTTTGCGCTGTGGCATTTATTGTCCATTTGTGTGCTCATATGCTTTATATACATTTTTATTTTACAATAAAATTTGTATTCATTCGTTCTCCAACCTGCACGTTCAGGGTTGCAGATGGCCAGAGCCCAATCCCAGCAGCTCAGGGCAGAAGGCGGGACCCACCCTGGACAGGATGTCCTCCTCTCACGGGGCTCACGCACCCACACTCACTCAGACTGGGACCGCATAGACACGCCAGTGCACCTGACACACACACCTTGGGGACGTGGGAGGAAACCAGAGCACCCAGAAGAAACCCAGAGACATGGGGAGAACATACAGACTCCACCCAGACAGTGGCCCTGCCCAGGAATCAGATGTCTTATCAACATATAACGAAATGTTATTTGAGAACTTGCTGTACACAGTATTTCATCATGTCTCAGGGCAGCTTGACAGAGGTAGAGAATCTTGCCCACCCTCTAATGACACGTTGGACTGCGCACTGAACATAGATCCTGTCGAGGGTGTTTAGAATTGCGCCTTCGGGTGACCTGGGGTCTGCTTCCAGAAGGTGACATTTTAAATAAGGTGCCATGGGGCAGCTGAGGAGCTGGGATTAGGCTTTGGCCTAACGCCCCTCAGTTTCTTCAGATGTGATCTGTTAGTGCTGCGGGCCTGGTACCTTGAAGAGGTAGCTAACTGGATCCAATCCCCACTTCCCCTGTAGTTTCCTCAGTTGGAGCAAAAATGGCGATGGTAGAGGTCAGACGTCATCCTCTATCAGGACTTCCTCCGGACTGACACCTGGGAGAGAGTCACACTTCGGTTTACAGCCCTTCCCCGCTCCCTTTGCGCAAAAGGAAACAGTTATCACCTCAACTGTCACCATTAGCAAGGTGGGTGTGGAGGGCCTGTGAGAAGCCAGTGCCACCTCCCATGAGACAAGCCAGACTTAGAAACTGGCTCATCGAGGCCTGTCAGCCTCTTCAGCCAGAACCAGTCAGGGAGGAAGATGGACTCCGTGTGACTCCAGAGGAGAGAGACACAGTCTCTGGGGTGTCACTTTTAAGACAGTGTGTAAACTAAAAAGACACCTTATAGTCTACATCCAAAATGATCCTTATTTTAACTTGTCCCCAAAGGAGTTCATTGTGTCTAGGGGCAATTATTTTATATCTACAAAATGATTTTATTTTTTTGAGATGGAGTCTCACTCTATCGCCCAGGCTGGAGTGTAGTGGTGCGATCTCAGCTCACTGCAACCTCCGCCTCCTGTGTTCAAGCAATTCTCCTGCCTCAGCCTCCCTGAGTATCTGGAACTATAGGCATGTGCCACCATGCTCAACTAATTTTTGTATTTTTAGTAGAGACGGAGTTCACCATGTTGGCCAGACTGGTCTCGAACTCCTGACCTCAGGTGATCTGCCCATCTCGGCCTCCCAAAGTGCTGGGATTATAGGCGTGAGCCACCGCGCCGGGCCTGCAAAATGACTTTATAGGTAAATCCACTTAAATTTAAATGTGTATGAGACACTCCATGTTCACAGACCATTTTTTAATTAATTTGTATCAAAATTCTTCCTATAATACAAGATACATTTTAAAGATTCAGCTCCCTCTGCTTTTAACATGTCGTTTTCAGCAAAACTGGATCAAAACAAGCTCCGTGTACTAGCAGCCAGCGAGGACCACTGGGACCCTCAGCCCAGCATGGGCACAGTCAGGGAAGGCAGCGTACTTGTGTGCTCAGGCTAGACTTCTCCCTAACGTAGCCATGGTTCCCAAACCTCTGTGCTTGTTAGATCCATTTTATACCAAAGGTATTAACATGGGCAGCCTTTGACACATGTATTCCAAAAAGCAACTTTATATTTTCTTACATATTTTTTACACATTTCTTTCTTACATATTTTTCTTACGTTTATATTTTCTTGCATCCTGAAGCCTAAGCCGCACCTCCAACCAATTAAGTCTCAGTATCTGGGTGGGACACAAGCGCATTGATTTCCACGTGGGGGGAAGTTATGGATAGTTATGGATAACTGTAATAAGCGTGAAGCCTTTATCCAGTGAAAAGTTAGACTCTGCTATTTGGGAAGTGTCTCATGTCAGCTTCTGGTTCACTGACAAGGATGGTTAAGCTTTTTTTCTTTTCTCATTCAGTGTTTAGATGTGTGTATCTCTATATCAGTTTCTTCCTGTCTTACAGATGTAGAATTAGGAATAGAGGGCAGAAATGAACTATTAATAGCTTATGATTCCAGTCAATCTACAGGACTGAAATTGGTAGAACTTTAACTTATATTCTCATCTAAAACGGCTTACTTCCCTCCCAGAGACGGCCACTCACCACTGTTAATTGTCCATTTTTATTTTTATAGACTTGTTCTTCCAGTCCAGTGTCGAAAACTATTGTGCCTTCTTTTCCCGGACTAATAAAAAACTGTAAACTTAAAATACACAAAGTGACACATTACTGACATACTGTATTTTCTTCTCTCAACCTTTGGTCTACAGAAGAAATTCACTTATTAAATTCTACTAGTTTCAAGATCAAATTCCTGTTTTATTACAGTGTTTTATTGCATATTTGAGGAAAGGAAGAATGCTGTTGCCACAGCTGGGCAACTTACATGTTTCTGTAGTTACCATGAGATCAAATGAGCACATTCAGTTCTTCAAAGGGTCAGTTGATGTCTATGGAACTACTTCCATATCACACTGAAACTCTGAGGGGCTGAGTATTCCCTCAGGTACAGCAACACAAAGACAACACATTTCAAAGCACTCAACTCTCTCTCCTTATTCCACCTACAAATGTGCTCTGGTTGTTAAAACTTGGAACAGCACAGGATGAGGGAAAAGAAACAGCTCTCCAGGATATCCTGCCTTCACTGACTTCATTTCTCTGAAGGCCAAGATCCCAGGGATGAAGACGGAAAAAAGTTACTTATGGGAAGGGGCGAGGATGTAACACTAGAGGCTTCTCACCCCTTACTGGTAGAGATGGTGCTTGATTACGTTGGAAGCAGGAGGCAAGCAGGAGTGAAAACAATATTTGCATCTTCCCCGATCTGTAATTTTTTTTTTTTTTTGAGACATTGTCTATCTCTGTTGCCCAGGCTGGAGTGCAGTGGTGTGATCTTGGCTCATTGCAACCTCCGCTTCCTGGGTTCAAGGGATTCTCGTGCCTCAGGCCTCCCAAGTATCTGGGATTACAAGTGTGCACCACCAAACCCGGCTAATCTTTGTATTCTTAGTAGAAACGGGGTTTCACCATTTTGGCCAGGCTGGTCTTGAACTCCTAGCCTCAAGTTATCTGCTCACCTCAGCCTCCCAAAGTGCTGGGATTATAGGCATGAGCCACCACGCTCGGCCTTAATAAACATTTTAACATTGAATTACTTCCTGAGCTGAAGATGAAGCCACCTACCTTCCTTGAACAACATTGACAATGTTCTCCTTCTTAACCAGCATGACGAGTTTAGTAACTGCTTCAAACACGTGTCCACACTGCAAAACGGCATCCCCCTGGGGTGGGGAGGAGACAAGGCATAATTTCAGTATTCACAGCTTAAAGAAACAGACACTCCAATAGAGAAGTTTCACGGTGGTCAACTTAACATTTTGGCAGTGTATTGTTTCTGTCTTTTAGTAGAGACTGGTGGCTGTCAATTACCTTTTGCTTGCTGTCCTCTGGTGAAACATGAATGACTAAGATTCCATCACTCAGATTGCTAGTGGAGACACCTTAAGACAGATCCAGAGTTAGGAGCCAAGAACTAGAGAGCTTGACATTAGTACAGAGGAAGAAGAGATACGCCCAGGGGCTGCCCAACACCACACTTCATTCTCCTAGCTGGGCCCAGAAGGATGAAGGGCATACTTTAGAAATCTTAGCCTGCTAGTGGGCTCTGATCACCGTGGAAGCAGACTATTGCCCAACCTGGGTACTTGAGTAAAGTGGTGCTATTAATATTTATGCCAGAATAAGGGTGCAGTCCAGGCTGGGCAACGCTAGGGGAGGAGGGCAGATGGTTTTGTTTTTTGTTTTTTTTTTTGAGCCAGAGTCTCACTTTGCCACCCAGGCTGGAGTGTGTGGCACAATCATAGCTCACTGCAGCTTCGAATTCCCAGGCTCAAGTGATCCTCCTGCCTCAGCCTTCCGAGTAGCTGAGACTACAGGTGTGCATCACTACCCCGGGGTTTATGGGCACCCTACACTTGTGTTTCCCATTTGGGAGCTTCATTACTGGGCTTTCCAGTAGTTGAGTCAACTCAGTGCATTGTTTTAAAGATTGCCCACTTCTTACCTTTGAGAGCTGAGTACTCTATTTTCTGCTTGATTTTGGCAAGTTCCACCACGTAAGCTGCTTTCTGAGTAAGAATGAGTTGCCGCTGCCGTGCTTTGAAGCCTTTTCTGTCATATTTAATGACCGGGACACCATACTGCAAGGGGAAGGTGACTTCACCAGGGAAGGTGGGGCAGAGTACCGAGTTTCTTGCTACTCAGACACCGGTAAAGTGATGTCAAGCATTTAGAAAAGCTCAAACAGATTTTGCGTGTATGTGTGTGTGTGTGTGTGTGTGTGTGTGTGTGTGTGTGTATATACACACATATATACGTACACATACATACACACATATATACGTACACATATATACACACATATATACGTACACATATACACACACATATACGTACACATATACACACACATATACGTACACATATACACACACATATACGTACACATATACACACATATACGTACACATATACACACATACGTACACATATACACACACATACGTACACATATACACACATATATACGTACACATATACACACATATACGTACACATATATACACACATACGTACACATATATACACACATACGTACACATATATACACACACACACACACACATATATATATATATATATATTTTTTTTTTTTTCCTGGCTCTCTGCATGATGGGGATTTGGATCCCTAGCTCTGCCTACCTGCGTTGCCCTCTGAGGAAGTCAAGGCTATGGCTGCCTGCCTTGCAGGTCTGCTCTGATGGTCAGAGATGAAAACTCTCACAGCCACAGTGTAATCCAATCCAGTCACAGTGGCTTCTATTCCCCAGGGAACAAAAAAAAAAAAAAAAAAAAAAAGAGCAGACACTGGCACACACGATCACCAGGGCTTCACCTGCTGCTGCGTGCCAGGCAGCAGCCTGAGCACCTCTCGCCCACCGACTCATTCATCCTCTCAGTAAACCCATCATCCTCATTCACAGAAGATCAGAGGCACCAAGAGCTTAAGTGACCTGCCCAGGATCTCACGGCTGCTACGTTCAAAGCAAGTGTCAGTGCCCAGGCACTATGCCACACTGCCTCTCACCAATAAGGGGGTGTTTCGTGATTAAGTTCATGGCTACACTTCATTCAATTTTGTAGGAAAGCAAACCAAGACAGTTTCTAGGGTGACGGAGGTGTCATGAGAACAGCAGCCATTATCTAATCATCATTTGTTCCCCATCATCTTAGTTAATACCCAAAGCATCACAGTTGAGAGCCCCAGCTGCCCAGCTGCACCCCTGCATTTAAATAGTGCGCCCTTTATGGAGAAAGGGGACCCTGCTCTTAGACTCGATGAGGGAATCCTGTTTGAGACTGAGGACACACATCGCCTTACCTGGATTTTCTCATGGCTAATTAGCTGAAGCACTTTCGGATTAATGTCTCCTTCATCTAGAGAGGGAACCAGAAGGCCATGAATCATCACTAAAGTACCAATCCTGTGGAAAAGTCATTGGTATCTGCTAGTTTTGTTATGCATCTCTGTGCTAAGATCTCAGGTGGGGAAATAGCCATCAGGAAATGCTGCAGAGTTGAGCATCTGCCTTTGACTTATTTTTTTGGAGACAGAGTCTCGCTCTGTCTCCCAGGCTGGAGTGCAGTGGCATGATCTCGGCTCACTGCGTCCTCCGCCTCCTGGGTTCAAGCCATTCTCCTGCCTCTGCCTCCCGAGTAGTTGGGACTACAGGTGGACACCACCACGCCCTGCTAATATTTTGTATTTTAGTTGAGATGGGGTTTCGCCATGTTGGCCAGGCTGGTCTCGAACTCCTGAGCTCAGGCAATCCGCCCACCTCGGCCTCCCAAAGTGCTGAGATTATGGGCATGAGCCACCGCACCCCACCCTTTAACTCCTTTTAGAATTGGAAAGCCAAGTACATAGGCTGGAAAATGTACTTACCTATCCGACTGTTGACAAAGGGTTGATTTAAACTTTCTGTGTAGCCGTCTTTCCTTCCCCTGAAGATTTCACTTGTAACTACCTTTTGCTGCATCTGGTAATACACAATTGAAAGTATAAAAATGGTAGCCACAGGCTTCTTTGGGATAGAAGAGCTCTAGACCCATTGAGGTCACATCCTTTGCTGGATAAACTGTGGGAGCCTTGTTACCCTGGAGCATACAAGTCAGAACACCTTCCTGGCTTTGGCCAAAATGCCCTGAAAGTCATATTGGTAGAGACTGGGTTGACGTTTCTGCTCGTTCCCTTACTACCTTCCTGAAAGTGGATTTTCCAGAGTTCCAAGAGCAGTTTCTTGTAGATCAGGGATTGGGAAACCACAGCCTGCAGGCCAAACTCAGCCTGCTGTCCCTTTTTGTAAGTAACATTCTATTGGGACAGAGCCATGCCATTCATGCACACATTGTCCATGGCTGCTTTCTCACTGTAGCAGCAGAGTTGAGTAATTCCAACAGAGAAAGGCCACAAACCCTGAAATAGTTACTCTTCTAGCCCTTTACACAAAAGACCCGCAGGTTAGCACGGTGAAAAACAGATTTCCAGCAGAAAGGGGTCTACATTCTCTGCTCCGGTGGATGGATGGCAGGAGCCGTTGTGATTGTGTTCCCATGGTAACAAACGGAGCCATGCTGATTACAGTAACAGCTGGCATTCATCCAGGGCTCTCTGCAGGTCTACCTGCAATTATCTTGAACATTTCAAAGCATGGGACTAGCATGACCCCCGCTTATAGGTGAAATGGTGGATGAGGAGGACTGACACTCAGGACCCACTCTTACACCCACCCCCACCACCGGCCACCGCAGACATCATGTCCCTACCATTGCTTTCCGCTCAGCTGTGATCCCGCGGCAGTACTTCTGCACCAGGTTCCTCACGCACATTTTCCTGAGCAGATCTGATGCCTGTGTGGAGAACACACTTCTTTCCACTTGCCTCACTCACTCCCTGTCTGGGGCTGTGGCGATCAAAATGAAGCTTTAAAAAAACACTGCTGAATTCAGTTTGATTTCAAGCACAGTGTTAATATTTTATATTTTATAGTCACAGCAGCTAACCTGATCCTCTCCCAACTTTTTGCTGTTGCTTAACGAATGATTCTCAAACTTGAATATGTTTATGACTCACCTGCAGAACTGGCTATAATGAGATTCCTGGAGATTCTGACTCAGTGGGTCCAAAGTGGAGCCCGGGACTCTTACAACAGCCCCGCCTCTAAGTTCCAGACACAGAGGGTCCTCAGATCATCTCTTGAGGGATGCTATTCTAGGAAGGCTACGTCAGGAATAGAAATGATTCGAAAGTACTCTGTCGGCTGGGCACGGTGACTCGCACCTGTAATCCCAGCACTTTGGGAGGCTGAGGCGGACAGATCATTTGAGGTCAGGAGTTCGAGACTAACCTGGCCAACATGGCAAAACTCCGTCTCTACTAAAAATACAAAAATTAGCCAGGCATGGTGGCGGGCGCCTGTAATCTCAGTTATTCAGGGGGGCTGACACACCAGAATCACTTGAGCCTAGGAGGCGGAGGTTGCAGTGAGCCAAGATCGCGCCACTGCACTCTAGCCTGGGTGACAGAGCAAGACTCCATCTCAAAAAAAAAAAAAAAGTGCTCTGTTTAAACAACCTCCAGTGGCTTTATAATGCTACTAAGGACACTCCAGTGGCTTTATAATGCTACTAAGGACATCGCAAATTCTGAGGAGTTCAATTTCTTGTGCAGCATCCTTGGGAAGAAGGGCTTTGCCAGGGCAGCCCTTTCAAGCCAAAGGGAGGCAGCACAAAGACATGCAAGAGTTAAGCTTCGTCAGTGCCCGTGCTACTTACAACACTGGAAATCCCAGATTAGTCCTTACATTTTCCAAGATGCCAGGAGGCCTCAGCCAGCTCTTGTCCAGGACAGTCTTTGGAAGGTGATACCGGAGATTCAAGATGTAATTCTTCCGCACAAACACGATAAATTCCTCGTTGTCAGGACAGAGGGGTTTGTTGCGACTGATGAATCCTTTAATGAACCTAAAAAGGAAAATGTTTTCTTACTTTTCTGGACCATTTCTTCACCGAGATTTACATTCTCTTCCCCCTTCTTTGATTCAGAGGCGGCCAAAGTGGTAGAGGCTGTGGAGATGACCACATAGGCCAGAGGCCAAATCTGCCCCACATATATGTTCGATTTCACCCACACGGCCTTTTGTTTTGTTTTGAGGAGCTTTAATTAGCTGCCAATTTTAAAAAGTTAGGAAGCAGGGCATAAAAGCCAGATTTCAAGGCTGGGCATGGTGGCTCATGCCTGTAATCCCAGCATTTTGGCAGGCTGAGGCAGGCGGATCATTTGAGGTCAAGAATTCGAGACTAGCCTGACCAACATGGTGAAACCCTGTCTCTCTACTAAAAATACAAAAAATTTAGCCGGGTGTGGTGGTGTGTGCCTGTAATCTCAGCTACTTGGAAGGCTGAGGCAGGAGAATCGCTTGAACCCAGAAGGCGGAGGTTGCAGTGAGCCGAGATCACACCATTGTACTCCAGCCTGGGCGACAGAGTGAGACTCCATCTCAAACAAAAAAAACAAACAACAACAACAAAACCCCAAAAGCCAGATTTCAGCGTTCCTTGAAAATTCAAGCCATCTGGCTACATTTCCCCACAGCAGCAGTAAACTGGAATGGGCTAGTTACCGCCCCACCTTGAGGTAGACTGAGCGTTCCAGTTTGCTGGTCTCCACCATGCCCTGTTGTCTTATCCCAGCCCATGAGACTCACTCACTTTACCTGCCTGGCATCAGAAGGCATTTGACTTTGTGACTTTTGAGCCAGGCTAAGAGAAATTCCAAATACATTGAGTTGTGATCACCATCAAATTCAGCTCAGAGCAAAGGGATGGACCTGAATTCCTAATGGCATTCTGAAGGGAGTTTTTCCTTTCTGCACAAATCAAAAAATCACAAAGAACTCATCTACCTCCATGACCATCCCTGCAGGGTACCAGCATTTAGTGACCTGTCCTCTCTGTTGTACCTGAGAACTTACTTTCTGATAATCCGCACGGCCCACTTTCTCCTTTGGATTGCCTTCCGAGCCAGGGCCCCACGCCAGTGGGCTTCCAGTTTGATGGCTGAAAGAGTTCACTGCTGGCATTAGAAGGTGAGCACAATCGTATGGAAATACAGAAGGCTTTTCCAGAAGGCTTTGTCCATTCAACAAACATCTGGACGCCCACCGCAGCACTCTGTTAGCCTCAGAGATGGAAGGTCGGATGAATGTCATCAGTTCTTACCTGGGAGTACTCAGGCAACAACTGAACCAGGGGGAGACAGAACAGAGGGGGCTATGGAAGGTTTCTAGGGAAGCCCTGAAATTACATGAGGGAGTCATTTTCCCAGGGTCTTTTTCAGCCACAGCAATGGCACTTGTGATGGTACAGATTAGTCTTACCACCATGTTTAGTCTCACTGGGGTTTACTTTTAGTTGTCTACATTTAAAAATTGGGGTACACAAGCAAACTAGGGCATATAAAACTTAGGTTCTGGCTTATTTCCCAATTTTTTTTTTTTTTTTTTTTTAGACAGAGCCTTGCTCTGTCGCCCAAGCTGGAGTGCAATGGTGTGATCTTGGTTCACTGCAACCTCTGCTGCCTGGGTTCAAGCAATTCTCCCACCTCAGCCTCCCCAGTAGCTGGGATTACAGGTGTGCACCACCACGCCTAATTTTTTTTTGTATTTTTAGTAGAGACGGGGTTTCGCCATGTTGGGCAGGCTGATCTCGAACTCCTGACCTCAGGTTATCTGCCCACGTCAGCCTCCCAAAGTGCTGAAATTACAGGTGTGAGCCACCATGCCTGGCCTGTTTCCCAATTTTTAAATGCTCTTCAGATTTTTTAAACGCTTTTCTTCGAATCCTCAGAACAGCATTGTTTCTATTACAAAGACAAGCAACTTGAATCAACCCAAACGTCCATCAACAGAACAGCTAAGTTGTGGCATACTCATAGCTCAGGGGCTGGCCCACTACAGCCTGCCACTTGTTTATGTAAAGTTTTATCTCTACACAGCCCTGTCCATTCATTTACATATTATCTAAAGCTACTTTCCTGCTACCATGGCAGACTTGAGTTACTGCGATGGAGACCATAAGACTCCCAAGTCTAAAATACTTCCTATAATGCTGACCTCTGCTGCTATAGTGGAATACTATGTAGCTATCAGCAAATGAATAACTAAATCTATGCACATCTCCTGGTTGAATTTCAAAATCAATTTGGAGTGCAAAAATGTCACCCAAAATACCAAGAGTATAGTTAAGTTTAAAACATGCTAAATTATAAATATATTATTTAGAGATACACCCATAGATAGTGAAACTATTGAAGAAAAACAAGAGAATGATTAATGCAAAATTCAAGAGAGTGGTTACTCTCAAGAAATGTATGCGTGTGGGTGGGAGTGTTGTTTGAGAACATGACTGGGGAGGGACAAAAAAATGGAAGGGCTTCAAGGGTACTTGTATGTTTGAAACTTTTTCAAAAATTATTCTTTTATTTTTTTTGAGACAGGGTCTCACTTTGTCACCCAGGCTGGAGTGCAGTGGTTCCATCGTGGCTCACTGCAACCTCCACCTCCTGGGCTCAAACAGTCCTCCTGCATCAGCCCTCCAAGTAGCTGGGACTACAGGCATTAACCACCATGCCTAGCTAATTTTTGGGTGTTTTGTTTTGTTTTGTTTTGGTAGAGACAGGGTTTCACCATGCTGCCAAGGCTGGTCTTGAACTCTTGAGCTCAAGTAATCCACGCGCCTCAGCCTCCCAAAGTGCTAGGATTATAGGTATGAGCCACCGCGACTGGCCCACAAAATTATTCTTTAAATGTACACATATTGTAGGACTAATAAAACATGCCTGTGGAACACATACAGGCCACTATGTTATAATCTCCAATCAATAAGGTAAAAATGAGAAGAGGCCCCAGAACTGGACCCCAAGATAGCACCACACAAGGTTTTAAGGATGAGCAGGGGGAGAGAACTCACAAATGTGCCCCCAGGTGCCAAGCAGATGAGAAAGGGAGCAAACTTATTTGTTTCTATTTAATTCTTACCTGCTTGTCTTTTTTTCACGTATTCTCTCCTTCCTAGGCAGCGTTTGTAAGTGGCTTGGATTCTTGCAACTTAAAATAAAACAGACGTTTTGGTGAAATGGCTTTGCATTTGCGCATCTTTGTGGTTGTGATCTCCAGGGGTGTTTGGGGGCCGATGGAAGGGGGCATCAAAGTCCTGTGGTGTAGTGATGTTTCAGGAAGCTATTTCAGCACTGCAGACCTGAGAGCTGGCTGGTTACATGACGCCTGGCTCCCAGATGCTGCCCGGGAACTGGAGTTTCCTTCCTGCCTTTCCTTTTCCCAGGGCAAGGAACAGACCTAGTGCTACAAGCCCCCCAGTTCCATGTCAGGCATTAGATTTCATTCTCATACGCCACCCCACAAGGCAGGCATCATCAGCATGTTTTATAAATGGGCACGCAGGCTCAGACAGATGGTGAAGACGCTTGCCGGGCAACACAGCTAAGGAGGAGCATGAATCCAGGTCTGATCAGAGAACACTCTCCCTCGGCTTCTACATCCTGCATCCACCCCCTCCACACAGCAATTTAGGTCCTATCAGAGGCCAAGCTCATCAAGAGCCTTGCAGAGCAGCCACATCCTATTCCCCACGAGCTGGTTAGAGATGCTGGCTCAGGCCCCACTGGCCTAACTGTGGCCCTTCAACCAGATCCCCAGCCATTGGTGCCCACTGCTACGGAGGTCAGAAAATGAGACCACCAAGCCTTGAAGCCAGACAGACCCAGGTTCAAACCGCAGCTAGGCTGCTTACTTGCTGTGTAGCCTTCAACAAGTTACCAACACCTCCGTGCCTCAGTTTCCCTGCATAGAAAGCGGAGACGATAGCACCTATGTCACCTCCCTTACAGGTCTGTTCTCAGAACAGAATGAGACCATGGTTTAAAGGACTTAGTGTTCACCTGGCGCACAGCAGGCCCTCAAATGACTCAAGCGTAGTTCTTGACAGACCGGTTACATTTCAAAAGAGACGCTCCCTCCCCCCGCAGTTTTGATTTTTTACTTTTTGCATTTCCCCATCTAACTTTTCTCATTGACCATTCCCAGCAAACACCCAGGCTGCAGGCTTTGAAGCTAAACTTTCCAACATCAGACACGCAGACAAGTGAAGTTTTGTAAACTTTAATTTCAAGGGGCTGGTCTCTCACGGTTTTACACCCTAGTAGTGAACAACAGAATCTGATCCAAACGAGAACTGAAACGGCGGAACAATGTTTATATATCTGCCTGCATCTGTGACTGACCTCCAAGCAGTCATTAAAGCAGAAATTCACAGGGATCTTATCATAATCCCATATCTCGTTCCTAGTTTCCAAAGCGAATGCTTCTAACACTATATCAAACACCCGTGTTTAAGATTTACCCCCAAGCTCCACTTGTTCATTTCATATTCTATTGAAATCGGGACAGAAAAAGAAATCATACCTAGTTGATGTTTACTAAATTCAAAGGCATCTTCGGTAGCAAACAGAGTTCTGGGGAAACGAATGAATATTTTGGTTCTAGAAGTGAAAAGAAATGTTTTTGTTATTAATTGGTCAGTTTACCATCTAGTGGGTTGAACGGTGCCCCCTTCAAAAATTCATTTCCACTCAGAACCTCAGAATACCATCTTATTTGGAAATAGTGTTTGCAGATGTGATTGAGGTAAGGATAGAAATGAGCTCATCCTGGAATAGGGTGGGCCCTAAATCCATTGAGAGTGTCTCTATACACACAGAAAGACACAGGGAGGAGCCCACGTGAGGACGGAGGCAGAGATTGGAGGGACACGGCTACAGCTAAGCAATGCCAGGAGCCACCAGAGCTAAAAGAGGCTCCCGCAGGAATGTGGCCCTGCCAACTCTTGATTTTTGGATTTCTGGCCTCCACAACTAGGAGAGAATAGATTTGTTTTAAATCAGCCACTTTGTGATCATCTGTTACGCAGTCCTAGGAAATGAATAAACCAACGTAACCTGAAGTTGCTTCAAGTTATGTTGCTAGGCTTTAAAGAGTGACGACAAAGAATATGGGTGTTTTTGTTTGTTTTTTGTTTTTGTTTTGAAACAGAGTCTCAGTTTGTTGCCCAGGCTGGAGTGCAGTGGTGCAATCTCGGCTCACTGCAACCCCCATCTCCCAGGTTCAAATGATTCTCGTGCCTCAGACTCCCGAGTAGCTGGGATTACAGGCACCAGCCACCACGCCCAGCCAGACAAATAATGTGGATCTAAGCTTAAAAGAAGATCACGCTGGGCGCGGTGGCTCACGCCTGCAATCCCAGCACTTTGGGAGGCCGAGGCAGGTGAATCACCTGAGGTCAGGAGTTTGAGACCAGCCTGACAAACGCGGTGAAACCCTGTCTCTACTAAAAATACAAAAATTAGCCCATTGTGGTAGTGTGCACCTGTAATCCCAGCTACTCGAGAGGCTAAGGCAGGAGAATCGCTTGAACCCAGGAAGCGGAGGTTACAGTGAGCCGAGATCATGCCACTGCAGCCTGGGTGACAGAGCAAGACTCTGTCTCAAAAAATAAAAAAATAAAAAGAAGATCACAGTAGCCAGCAGAGAGAAGTTACAAATACTGACCTCACATTGCCTGCCCGACCCCAGGCCTGGTGAGGGAAAGTTCCCAGGGCAGCCACTGGGGACAGCAGTGGGTGGTGCCTGGTGATCCCACTCTCCCTTGTCCCTGTTTCAATTTATGGAACAGGGGACAGACGGATCCCACCTCTGACCTCCATGCCCTGCCTCCCTCAGGATGTGCTGAGCCTTGCAGAATCCCCTTGGAGATCTGGACTGACTAAGTAACTGATCCTTGGAACAGGCCCAGAATAGGAGTCTACAGATGGAGAGAGGCCAAGGCGGCCCAGACGACCATGTACAAGTGGGAGTTAGGAGTCAGCAGGGAAAGCCCATGAACAGGATCACAGGCAGAGCTCTCTGGAGTGGGGAAGCCCTGCTGTCGGGGAATAGATCTTCATGCTGAGACACCTTTCCCTGCAACCTCATTAACCCTGACCAAAATGACGCACAAGACGGACTCGGATCTTCCCGATTCATGTCCCTTGAGTTGTGCCTGAAAGCTTTCAATGTGTACGAAAGTCTCTGCTCATGGATAACTACAACTCTACAGTTAAGAGTTCCAGCACACCATTTCTGAGATGCTACAGATGATCTCACATTGTCTAGGTCCCAGTAGCTCCTCTGGCAGGTCATGCGTACATGGGAACAGTGAAAGAATCCAGGCACACGGACGTTAGGTGCCCCCTCTGGTTCCCTCTTTGTTTTGCTAGCAAGGAGGCCCATCTGCTAAATCAGTTTAGTGCGGAAGTTTCCTTTATAACTTCATTTCCTCCCACCGGCAGCACCATAGCTCTTCTAAAGAATTAAGAGCTGCATTTACATCGAGTAGATGAAGCATAAATCTCGCAAATCTCCATAAATCCCTAGGAATCGAGTCTCCAGGCTCTAGATGGATACGGATCAATGCACAAAACCCTTTGATGTCAAGGGAAGAGACCATTTGGTGGTCTTCTGGTCACTTACTTGCCTAACTTGTATTCCTCGGGTTTGTAGCCGATGTACTTGATCAGCCGTTCCACGCCCTCTGCTGGAGGCCCGTGCCAGTGCGGCCAGGTGTCTGGGCATAAGGACTTGTACCTAGGAGAGGAGATGGACATGGAGAAGCTGTGACCGTACCTTCCTCTAGCCCTCCCCCACATCCCCGGCCCCAGAGGCCTGCTGAGCACTGCTGTGGCATGTCGGCCACTCAGTGTATGTAGTAGTCCCATTACACGAACTTTCTCGAATTCAAAGATGGGTACTTTGCAAGAAAGAAAGGAGAGAGAAACTGTTTCAATATAGTAGGGAGTTTGACCTGTCTTTGTAGAACAATGACATCATCAGACGCTCAACCCAGTGACTCAATTCCACTCCTAGGTATCTGTCCAAGAGAAATGAAAAGGTGTCCGAACATTCATACCTGAATGTTCATAGCAGCCATTGGGTGTAGCAGTGCATGGTGCTATGATTCATAATAGCCAAAAGGTGGAAACAACCCAGATGTCCATCGACAGAAAACTGAACAGACAAACAAACATAGTCTAGTACCAGAAGAAAAAGTTCTATGCTTGAGACCGGGTATGGTGCCTCATGCCTGTGATCCCAGCAATTTGGGAGGCCAAGGCAGGAGGATCACTTGAGGCCAGGCATTTGAGACCAGCCTGGGCAGACCCCGTCTCTACTTAAAAAAAGGCCAGGCGCAGGGGCTCAAGCCTGTAATCCCAGCACTTTGGGAGGCCGAGGCGGGCGGATCACAAGGTCAAGAGATCGAGACCATCCTGGCTAACATGGTGAAACCCTGTCTCTACTAAAAATACAAAACAAAATTAGCCAGGCATGGTGGCGGGCACCTGTAGTCCCAGCTACTGGGGAGGCTGAGGAAGGAGAATAGTGTGAACCTGGGAGGCGAAGCTTGCAGTGAGCCGAGATTGCGCCACTGTACTCCAGCCTGGGCGACAGAGCAAGACTCCATCTCAAAAAAAAAAAAAAAAAAAAAAAAAAATTTTTTTTTTAGCCAGGTGTGGCAGTGTGCGGCTGTAGTCCCAGCTACTCAGGAGGCTGAGGCAGGAGGATCGCTTGAGTCCAGGAGGTTGAGGCTTCAGGGAGCACTCCAGCCTGGGTAACAGAGATCCTGTCTCAAGAAAGAGTAGAGAAGAGAAAGAAAGGGTTCCATGCTTGGGAAGTGATGAGGGCTTCCCCCGTCCCCCAGGGGTAATTTTGGCTCCAGTGTTAAGAACCTGATTCCAGCATGCAGTTCCCTTCTACCCTGCAGTCCCTAGAAAGAGAACCGTGATGTCTGTAGTATAATGAAACAACTGAACGCAGAATTCAGAAGTGCAGATGGATCAAGGCTGGAAGCAGCACAACCGGAGCCACTGGCGTAGAAACAGAATGCCTGGGTTCCAGCCCAGCTCCGGAGCGGGAGGAGTCGCTGCCTCACCTGTGTGACATGAACAGTAACAGGACCTTCCTCATGGGGTTCTCATGAGGTTTAAACGAGATAATACACACTAGGTATTTAGTCCCAGTCCAAGACTCAATGAGTGCTAGCAGTGGTGTTCCCAATATGCTCCTTCCTTTCTTATTATATTTATGTTATTTATTTATTTATTTTTGAGACGGAGTCTTGCTCTGTCACCCAGGCTGGAGTGCAGTGGCACAATCTCCACTCACTGCAAGCTCCGCCTCCCAGGTTCACGCCATTCTCCTGCCTCAGCCTCCCGAGTAGCTGGGACTACAGGTGCCCGCCACCACACCTGGCTAATTTTTTGTATTTTTTAGTAGAGACGGAGTTTCATTGTGTTAGCCAGGATGGTCTCGATCTCCTGGCCTCGTGATCCACCCACTTCGGCCTCCCAAAGCGCTGGGATTACAGGTGTGAGCCACCGTGCCTGGCCTCATATTATGTTTATTTTAAAATCAGATTTTTTTTTTTTTTTTGAGATGGAGTCTCGCTCTGTCTCCCAGGCTGGAGTGCAGTGGTGCGATCTCGGCTCACTGCAAGCTCCACCTCCCACGTTCTAAAATCCGATTTTAAACTGTTAAAAAAAATACATGTATATATATTTTTGATACAGAGCTCACTCTGTCACCCAGACTGGAGTGCAGTGGTGCGATATCAGCTCACTGCAACCTCTGCCTCCTGGGTTCAAGCGATTCTCCTGCTTCAGCCTCCTGTGTAGCTGGGATTATAGGCATGTGCCACCACGCCCAGCTAATTTTTGTATTTTTAGTAGAGACAGGGTTTCTCCACGTTGGCCAGGCTGGTTTCAAGCTCCTCACCTCAGGTGATCACTTTTCGGCCTCCCAAAGTGCTGGGATTACAGGCATGAGCTACCATGTCCAGTGAAAAATATTTTTATTTTCCTGGAATTTATGAGCATGTTCTTTAAGGGTATCGAGTGTCCCATGTTCTTCCTCTGTTCAGCCACCTACACAAAGGTGCAGGATGTGTGCTTCCTGAACTCCAGTGAAAGCTGGAGAAGATAGGGTCTCCACCACCCCCAGGGGACACAGCACAGCCTCAGGCCCTGCTTTCATCCATGCAGACCTTGCGCAATACCAGCATGCACCGCCAAAGCTAGACAGATATGGAGGGGCTGGGGAGAGGCCCTAAATGCCTGCAGGTTGGAGGGACTAGTACCTTATGTCTTCAACTCTATGATATGGTTGCTCCCTGATCAAGGGAAGTGGTGCCAGGCAGGTGCACGGGGTTTGGCTATCTCCAGCTCGATCCCGTGAATCTCCCCTTGCCTCTGTCCCCAGCCACTGACCAGCTGCCACGCTGGCCTCTCAGCTTGCCCTAGAGCCTGCTCCCACCTCCAGGCTTTCCTGCCTTGATTGATGTTCCCTGAATGCTATGGACTGATCGTCTGTGTCCCCACAAAATTCATATGATGAAATCTAACTCCCAATGTGATGGTGTTAGGAGGCAGGGCCTCTGACAGGTGATCAGGTCACAAGGGTGGAGCACTCATAAATGAGATTAGTGCCCTTATGACTACATCATCAACTATGTGAAGACACAGCGAGAAGGCACCATCTACAAACAAGGAAGCTGGCCCTCACCAGACACTGAGTCTGCCAGTGCCTTGATCTTGGACTTCCCATCCTCCAGAACTGTGAAAAGTTTCTGTTGGTTAGAAGCCACCCAGTGTAGTGTTTCGTTAC